>NC_000012.12:72763158-72914673 GCF_000001405.40 Homo sapiens | reverse complement strand
AGGCTAAATAACTTTAAAATATGGTTCCGTCTATTCTCCATTCTTACTCCTATCTTTTACAAGGGTTCTAATATTTAATTTTAGATAATGAGGCCTCTTCTAAAATTAATCTTGTGCCTTTAATTATTCAACTATCCAACCTTGCTGAAATCATTCTAATTATTACCACTGCTCAATAGTATTAGTAAAAATTACATTTAAATTCAAAATAATTTAGAGATCTTAATATTCCCACAAGCATTTAGCTATTTTTATACTTTCACCTCTTGAGATTAAAAAATAAATAAATAATATTGAATACAGATAATATCATTGTTTTAATTTAAATGATTTTGTATTTTTATCCCTAATGCAATGCCATAGAAGGTGGATTACAATTAGCTCTCTATTTTTTGATTTGTAAATCCCACCTCTTGTATTACCTTTTCATTTACACTTTTAAAAATTTTATGATGCTCATATTCTTTTATTATCTGTTAGGTTAATCAGCAGACAAAATGTTATGTACATTTTCTAGTGCATTGCCCTTGAGAAATGAAGCTTATTATTCATCTTGAATAAATAAATACCATGTGAGATTGTAATGGTAGATTTCAAACAACATGAACTGCCACCCAACATTATCTGGTCTGCTAGATTATGGCATCTATTTTCTAAAAGATTCTATGCCTACATATTGAAAATAATAGTATGTGTTACTGAAAATAACATGTGGCATTTAGAAAACTAAAAAAAAATCTTTACAGTGTCTATTAAATTATTTAACAAATAATTTCCAGACTATGATCCTTCTATTTAACATTGATTTGAGTGGGAGACAAGAACACAAGTCAGCCTGAAAAATAAAAAGTAGAAATGGGGGCAATACATATACTTCTTTCATGGGTGAGTCTTAAAATTTTGATTTAGGTTAGATAAATTAAATTACTTTGGCCTGTGCTGCCTCTCCCCCACCACAGCAATATTATTCCCAAGAGTCTATTTTCTACTGCTGTATATATGATTTGCAATGATGACATTCAAAGACTTTGTATAGCATTTCTCCCTTCTAAGCCATATACAACAGAGGCACAACACACAGTAAGAAAAAAAATGTCCAGCTTAAATATGAATCTTCATTGAAATTTCTGTTTGTGACTGTTCTAAAATTCTATACCATAAATATTCTGAGATAAGCAAGCTTAAAATATGTTTATTAAAGTTTATCTTAACAAGAAAATAACTTCTTTTCTGTGACCTTTGGAAAGTAATGTGAATGCTTTATTTTTCTTGATAGTGATGCAAAGCAACAATGAAATGCAAAGCCTGGTCATTAATCACATCATAGATTAAAGAGGGTATATTTACACTGTGCCCACAAAAGAGCTCTCTGATGGCTGGAACATTGTGCCCATAATACAATGACTCCACAAATTTTGTTAACTAAATGTCAATTCTGAGCCAGCACTACAGGAAATTTTAATGAAAGATTGAGTAGTACAACAAACTTGGACACTGGTAGTAATTTTCAAGTGAATGGGAAACTAGTAACCACACTCAAAACACATACAGATTCTCCACCCATGTTTTATTTGAACATAGCCAGATTAGCATCTAAAACAAGTCTCTCCTTTCAAGCAGATGGAAACATTGACTTGCATCAAACACTTCAAAAAGTCCAAACATCAAACCTGAAGATTGAATAAGTCAATGTTTTTTTCTTTTGTCCTTTCAGGAAGGGGGAAAACTCAACCACTTCTTGCTCTTCTTTACTCAGGTTTATCTTTTGATTGCTAGCAATTCTGAAAGATAGCATGGTTTGACCCTGTAGATGGACATACTTGTGACTAGGAACAATTGTTGATGTAATGAAAGTCTTCTTCCTTTTAAATCACATGGGCCTTTAGATCAAATTGAAAAATATGCTTATACATTTTTTGAAAACAATACTTCTAATCACATTGCTGTAGTGCTTATTTCTTAAATCCAGTAAGTAAAATTTTTGATATTTTTCTCTTATTTAGTGGGATCTTTTAATAGAAAATGACATGGTTTTCATGGACACAGGAAGGGGAACATCACACACCGGGGCCTGTTGTGGGGTAGGGGGAGGAGGGAGGGATAGCATTAGGAGATACACCTAATGTTAAATGACGAGTTAATGGGTGCAGCACACCAACATGGCACATGTATACATATGTAACAAACCTGCACGTTGTGCACATGTACCCTAAAACATAACGTATAATAAAAAAAAAAAAAAGAAAATGACATGGCTTATTGCCTTCCTGAGTGATGGTGATCAGTGGTAACTCAATAATTTCTGTACAGAAAACAGGAAAGTGGAAGAGGGGATAATGGGTGCCAGTTGAAGCCGTCTTAAATAGCAAATAAAAGATATTTACTTTGATTGTATTCTCATGTATGAGCAAGACTAATAAAAAATGTCGGGAGGTCTCTAAATCTCCAACAACTCTTCTCCCAATTTGCCACTGACTCCAACTACAGACAGTGAACTAAAATGCTTTGCAAAAAATTACCCAACCAGAGTACAAGGTCTGTAGGCACTGCAATTTCTGGCAGCAGACAGAGACCACACAATACACTAAGCACTGGCAGAAAATCTCTCAACCTCTTTCTTCCTAGAAATACTTGCAACCAGAAAAGTTTTTGCAAGCCATTGTCAGGTTTTATACAAAGTGTAATTACAAATTTTCTAATATGGGTCAAAATTTAAATGAGTTACTAATTTGATAAAGGACAGCCAAACATCACATTTCATCAAACTTTTAAACAAATAATTAATGTCTTAACATGTACTTAAAATACTAATTCCATAGTTTAAGTAGAATGTCTCAGTAGCTCAAAATGTCCAATTTAATTCAAATTATGTGTGAAGAAGAAAGTAATTTTCTGAAAAATCACTTAGATTATCTTGAGGACCCAGAAGCGATTTTTGCTTCTCACAACTAATTTGAGATAAGTTTATGCTTATTTTCAATCTTAGGTCTGCTTCCATGGAAAATAGACTCTGAACTGAATATTTACACAGAGGTAGTTTCTTGGGAAGTGTATTATTCTGTTGTCATACTGCTGTAAAAAAAAATACCTGAGACGGGGTAATTTATAAAGAAAAGAGATTTAATTGACTCACAGTTCCGAAAGGCTGGGGAGACCTCAGGGAGGAAGGGGAAGAAGCATGTCCTACATGGCAGCAGGAGTGATAGAGAAGAGCGAGCAAGAGCAGGGAAAACTGCCTTGTAAAACCATCAGATCTTGTGAGAACTCACTAACTGTCAGGAGGACAGCATGGGGGAAACCACTCCCGTGATCTAATCACCACTCTGCCTTGACACATGGTTATTACAGACCTCTCCCTCAACACGTAGGGATTACAATTCAAGATGAGATTTGAGTGGGGACACAGAGCAAAACCATATCAGGGAGTGTTCTTTATAAAAATGCCTGGATGGATTAAGGAAAGGATTGGTCAGAAGAGAAATTGTGATCCAATTGCGTTAAGACCTTGGCCAATACAACAGAGTTCAAGAGAGGAGGGCCCTTCAGGATCCTAAGTTGAAGCAAGAAGGTACCAAGGTCTAAACTCTTACATAGACAAGTCATTGCATATGGTCTCCCCAGGGAAGAAACAGGACCTTAGACAAGGTACCTCACTTCGGCCTAGGGGAAGTTCTGGAGAAGAACTGACTTGTAAGTCCTTGTTTAGGAACATTTCCAGCAAATGAACAAATGACTGCCTCATTCTGAAGTGGGGGATCTGCATGATACACTACAGGATTTACAGGGCTTTTTTTTTTTCGATATAAATCTGAAGTCATTCAATTTTTGATAATGAGAACCCATCAATTGTTAGTTTCTTATATCTGCCATGCAATTATGGGTATACAGAGTTTAATATATTCAGAATATTGTTGACTCTAACACGAACACATCTTGACTATTTGTGAATGTTTGTGTTTTTTATTGACAGAAGGAACTGTTTAGCATCATTGATTTCTCATTAGCAATCTTTAAAACATAGATTTTTGACACAACACACAGTTGCAAATAGACAAAATTTGTCAATACAACTGTCACAGATGAAAAGAAAGATCTGACTTTCCTTTTGTAGTTCTGCTTTTCGATCAATATCTGTTTAGGGCTTGGATGAAAGGGTCTCCATGAGCAGGTCACAAGCTTTTGTGCTGACATAAATTCTGTGTCTTTGCAGCTGTGTGTTATGTCAAGTCTACACCATCTCTCAGCTGGATTCTTACAATCTTACACATCTTATAAGCTGCCAGTGGTTCCTCTGTGTTCCATCCTTATTTCTCAAAATCCGTTCTCTACATAGGAGCCAGTGAAAATGTGTTAAAATGTGAATTGGAAGACCTCATTCCCCTGCTTAAAATATTTCCATAGCTCCCATTGCACTCTGAATATATTCTGAAGATTTTTATCATGGCCCACAAGGTCCTTTACCATCTGGCTCCTACCTGCTTCTTTCAAATGCCCTCATAAAATCAACTGAGTTCCTAAGATCAAGCAACACTGGCCTCAGTTCTGTTTGTGTAAAATAATAAACATTTTTGACTCAGAGACTTTGCACTCTGTGTTATTTATACCTGAATTATCTTCTCCATGAGTCTGGGCAATAAACGTCCTTTCCTTCTTTAATTAAGCTATCCAAGGATAGTTACATATTGCCCTTCCTTCCCTCCTGGTCTTCTATTACTTCTCCAGGTACCTGCTCACACCTTGGCCAACCAAACCAATTTTTCTCTATAACACCTTCATCACAACGATCTGTAGTAATCGTGTTTATGAATTTGATAACATGCTTATTTTCTATCACTTTTTCACGAGAATGTACACTGCATGTTTTCTTCCTCCAATTTTTAATAATCTGTAACATCTCTCCCAAACAATATTTAATAGACATAGAAAGCACAAAGGGGAGAGCATGTGAAAGTATGATACTTGACTGTTAGCCAAGGACTAGACCAAGAAAAGTGTTTTAGGCCATGTTCAACTTCTGGAGCAATAAAAAACATTGTTAGGATTTTAGGAGTATGGTCTTGAGGTAAGAAGATATGAATATTTCTTTTTTTTTCAGATAGAATATTCTGTTTGCAACATATACATTTTATTTTATTGATATATTTATTTAAATGGTTATCATTAAATTGCATTCTCATTGCAGATTAACACTAAAATTACCTATGTTTTTGAAGCATTCATATTGGGCCAATTCTTACAAAGTATTTCTATGTATTTGCAATATTTTTGTAAAGTACTCATGAAAAAGTGTGTTTTGATTCTGAGAAGAATCAAATATGACCAAACTGTTTGAAATAGTGCCTATCTCAGGCTCTCCCTAAATTCTTTTTTTTTTTTTTAATTATTATTATGCTTTAAGTTTTAGGGTACATGTGCACAATGTGCAGGTTAGTTACATATGTATACATGTGCCATGCTAGTGTGCTGCACCCATTAACTTGTCATTTAGCATTAGGTATATCTCCTAATGCTATCCCTCCCCCCTCCCCCCACCAGACAACAGTCCCCAGAGTGTGATATTCCCCTTCCTGTGTCCATGTGTTCTCACTGTTCAATTCCCATCTATGAGTGAGAACATGCGGTGTTTGGTTTTTTGTCCTTGTGATAGTTTGCTGAGAATGATAATTTCCAATTTCATCCATGTCCCTACAAAGGACATGAACTCATCATTTTTTATGGCTGCATAGTATTCCATGTTGTATATGTGCCACATTTTCGTAATCCAGTCTATCATTGTTGGACACAATTGCTTCAAAGAGAATAAAATACTTAGGAATCCAACTTACAAGGGACGTGAAGGACCTCTTCAAGGAGAACTACAAACCACTGCTCAATGAAATAAAAGAGGATACAAACAAATGGAAGAACATTCCATGCTCATGGGTAGGAAGAATCAATATTGTGAAAATGGCCATACTGCCCAAGGTAATTTATAGATTCAATGCCATCCCCATCAAGCTACCAATGACTTTCTTCACAGAATTGGAAAAAACTACTTTAAAGTTCATATGGAACCAAAAAAGAGCCCGCATCGCCAAGTCAATCCTAAGCCAAAAGAACAAAGCTGGAGGCATCATGCTACCTGACTTCAAACTATACTACAAGGCTACAGTAACCAAAACAGCATGGTACTGGTACCAAAACAGAGATATAGATCAATGGAACAGAACAGAGCCCTCAGAAATAACGCCGCATATCTACAACTATCTGATCTTTGACAAACCTGACAAAAACAAGAAATGGGGAAAGGATTCCCTATTTAATAAATGGTGCTGGGAAAACTGGCTAGCCATATGTAGAAAGCTGAAACTGGATCCCTTCCTTACACCTTATACAAAAATTAATTCAAGGTGGATTAAAGACTTAAACATTAGACCTAAAACCATAAAAACCCTAGAAGAAAACCTAGGCATTACCATTCAGGACATAGGCATGGGCAAGGACTTCATGTCTAAAACACAAAAAGCAATGGCAACAAAAGCCAAAATTGACACATGGGATCTAATTAAACTAAACAGCTTCTGCACAGCAAAAGAAACTACCATCAGAGTGAACAGGCAACCTACAAAATGGGAGAAAATTTTCGCAACCTACTCATCTGACAAAGGGCTAATATCCAGAATCTACAATGAACTCAAAAAATTTACAAGAAAAAAACAAACAACCCCATCAAAAAGTGGGCAAAGGATATGAACAGACACTTCTCAAAAGAAGACATTAATGCAGCCAAAAGACACATGAAAAAATGCTCATCATCACTGGCCATCAGAGAAATGCAAATCAAAACCACAATGAGATACCATCTCACACCAGTTAGAATGGCAATCATTAAAAAGTCAGGAAACAACAGGTGCTGGAGAGGATGTGGAGAAACAGGAACACTTTTACACTGTTGGTGGGACTGTAAACTAGTTCAACCATTGTGGAAGTCAGTGTGGCGATTCCTCAGATATCTAGAACTAGAAATACCATTTGACCCAGCCATCCCATTACTGGGTATATACCCAAAGGACTATAAATCATGCTGCTATAAAGACACATGCACACGTATGTTTATTGTGGCATTATTCACAATAGCAAAGACTTGGCTCTCCCTAAATTCTTACCACCATTAATTTTCTTCACAGCACTTGTCCTGATCACATCTATGTATCTGTTTATCTGTTAAGTGCATAACTTCACAGGGCAAAACTGTCTTGTGTTCTCCTTTATCTCTGTCCTTAGAATAGGACTTGGCAAATAGGAAGTGCTCCACAAATATTTGTCAAATTAATGAGTGAATGGATCTCCTGATCTAGGAAATTCAAATATATGGAAGCTACTACTTCCCAGTGAAGCTGAATAAATGAGATCTCTTAGTCACTACAGTCCTTTCACTCTGAAAAGGTAATAAAATCTATCTTTCCTTTAATTCCTTGTATTTAGGTATACAAAATAACTGTCTAATCTAAGGGGTTCATATCTTACTAGGAAGTAATTAAACTCTTTTGCAATCTCTTCTATGGTCATGTAAATAATGAATATCTAATTGTTACTCAGTAATAGCTGCATTGATAGTTATTGTTTTCTACATATCTTCTTGGTAAATATGTAGTTATCACATGATAGGAGTATATGTGCTGTTTCAAATAAAGCACACACACATTTGTGGGGAACAAGAGAAATTTTTGTCTTTTTGAATAGTTATTCTATTCATGATGCTGAGTAGTACTCATGGCATCATTCAATAAATATTTGTTGAATTAATATGTTACCATAATTTACACTTAGCCGAAGTGAAGGAAAGCTCTTTACTGGGAGAGGTATCCACATATGTATCTATTTTTCAGTTAGATTTTATTTTTACCATGGATTTTTACCAAGCATATTAGGGAGGCAGGAGCACTAGATTAGAAGTCAAAATCATACTTCTCGTTCAGGCCCTTCCTTATGTGACTGTATGTAAATACTTTAAACCATCTGGGATAAAGCTTCCTGAATTATCAAAAGAACACAAAGTTACTTTATTTTTTAAGGTTCCTTTTGAAATCAGAACTGTATGTTTTCTTTAACTCTTACCATGAAAGTCCATTTTCATATACATCTGTTTTCAGAGACAATGTGTAGATCAACATAAATTTTTGTCTCTTTTCAAGTATTGTAATGAGAAAGTCAACGAATTAGTCTTTTTAATTCAATTCCCCTTTGTTGTTTGTCTCCTGTCTGAACTATATGGCATCTTTCTAATTGCATAATTAAGGGATAATAATTGTATCAATGTTGTTATTAATCTAAGAATTAATAACTGTGTGAGACGGATAGATGAGTTGACTTACAACAGAGGAGTTTTATGCATTTAGGTGCTGTTGATTAAAGCGAGAATATAGTAAAACTACCCAGGCCAGTGTTCTATACTGAACAGCTAACTCAAGCAACTGCTTGCAAGGCCAGTATGACATGGATATTGTGTTGGCTAATATAGTTTCTATCTGATTCTTGCAGGGATTTTGAGGCAGTTAATGTTCTCTATTAGCCAGTTGGATCAGTTACATTACTTAGTAACCTTTTATTCAATATAGAATTACCAATGTCTTTGAAAGTGAGATGGAGTGCTTTATACCTTATAGTATTTAAGCTATTAAAGATTCCATTAAAGAAGAGTTATCAATAGAAAATTATATTCTTTATTATAGTTTATCTAAGAAAAAAATCTAGTGAAACAACCAGTACATAAAATAAGAATGGTTTCCTTCTACATTTCAAGTAAAAGTAATTAAGGTTTTAGTCTTTTTTTATCTCTGTGATGTGAGCTATGAGATTGGACTAAGAGACACCTTAACTACATTCTCTAGTACAGAGGGCATGGTAAAATCAGTCATGTGGTTTCTTCTGTGAGGCTGTCTGGGATATGCCAATACTTTTAGGGGGAGAAATCTTTTCCTCCAACTCATGTGTATGTCTGTTTGTCACCCTAAAACAAACTCTGTTTCCTTTTTCTTCCTCCCCAAATCTGGTTATTAGAATCACTTAAGACCATTCTTGGTTATTCACCTACAGAATCATGATTGTGTTTGGGGACCCGCCATTGCACTCACATAACGGGGAATTGAAATCATCTCCAGCTCCAGAATACATGTCAACCTAAGATAGTCGTGGCAGTCTGATTCCCTCTACCGATACATTAGTTTATGAATAGGCATGGGAAGCACATCTGACCTCTTTCATTCTTTCATCTTTTCAACAATTATTTTTGATTGACCCCTATGTGCCAGGCACTCTTCAAGGAATTGGAGATACAGGAGGAAATCCAAGTCACTCTACTTCCTAGGGCTCATATTTTAGAGGAACGAAACAAATACAACAAACATAAAGAAGTCAATAAATAATATCTCAGGCCATTAAAAGGGTCATGAAGAAAACTAAAGCCAGGAAAAGTGATAAAAAGGAATGTGGGAAAAAGACCCTGTATCAATATATGTGATCAGCAAAGCCCTGCATATTAAGTGGACATAGAAGTTGTGACAAAAAAGTTGGAGGGTGGTGGGACTAGAACACAAATGGATATTATTTTAATACCTATAATTGCTGTGCAACCCTAAGAGACAAGAATATATGGAAAGAATGTAGGATTGTCTAATGTCCTGTGATCTTCATATTTATATAGCAAAGGTATGTTCATATATCATGTAGCAGACAAAAAGAAAACTCACTCAACGAATACAGCCATTTCTATGTGGGTTTTAAGTGATATTTTAATTTCACTTAAAAATTAATATTGGCCAGGCACGGTGGCTCACGCCTGTAATCCCAGCTCTTTGGGAGGCCGAGGCAAGTGGATCACGAGGTCAGGACTTTGAGACAAACCTGGCCAACATGGTGAAACCCTGTCTCTACTAAAATTACAAAAATTAGCCGGGTGCATTGGCAGACACCTATAATCCCAGCTACTCAGGAGGCTGAGGCAGCAGAATTGCTTGAACCCGGGAGGCAGAGGTTGCAGTGAGCCGAGATCGTGCCACTGCACTCTAGCCTGGGCAACAGAGCAACACTCTGTCTCAAAAAATAAAAATTAATTAATTAATTAATGTTGATATTACTCAAAAACAAGGTGTGACATACATGAACACATTTTCCTCTGCCTCATGAACTCTGGGCTGTGAACAGGTTTTATTAAATTTCGGTTACTTCAGGCTTCCAAGCTGAGAAAGCACCCTTAAAACTTACTTGGAAAGGTATTCCTGAAGATTGTGTAATATTATATAATTATTTCCTTATTGGATAGTCATCTCTAAACCCTCAATAAATTTATAATTAACTTTAGGAATATTTGGAACAAGAACATAAAACCCATACTGTTAACGATTTATATTTAAAAATCTATGAATATTTGGTAATACAAGTACTTGGTAATACAAGTAATGTTAAAGAGAATGTAATCTATTAGACAGCTCTACTCTCTGACTTGTTTAACATGTAAACCTCAACATGTTTATAAAAATTATCGCTTTACTTTGGGAATGTTTTTCATTTGAGATAAACAAACATAGTACTTGAGGAGCAAATTAAATGTATCAAATTTGTAAATACACCTTAAATATTTAATGGAACATAACTAAGATTATTGAAGGGAACAAATATTAACCAAAGTTTCCTTAAAGGTAATCATTATAATTACTAGTCTTATAAATAGAATCATAAAGTATATAAGTCAAACTTTTTAAGAATGTGATTTTATAAAAGCAATAACTTTAGTAAATTGACTATTTTTTTTTAAATTGACTAAATGTCTGAATAATCTTTAGTGTGCCAAAAAGTACCTATGTGCACAAAATAAAACTTACATTTGTCAGTGGAGTAAGTTTTGGACAGAGACGTGACTATCATGGGGAAATTAGCCACAAGGAAAGGCTATCTCTGGCAGTAGGAATAGCAGTTACAAAAGCCCTGAGGCAAGAACATGCCTGCCTGATGTTGGTGGCCAAGTGTGATTGCTGGAATTTGTGTGGCCATCTTGCTCCCAGACCAGAGCATGATGCCTAAAATAGAAAAGGTTAGTCCCCAGGACCAATGTGAAGTAGAAGCCGATTCCTGGAATGCTCTGCCCATCTTAATTATTATTATATAGAATAACAAATGTCCCCTTTTTCCAAAAAAAAAAAAAAAAAGTTTGAGTTTGCAGTTATCTGTTGCTTGCAGGTACAACACCCCAATTCAGGTTACTATTTATATTATTTTAACCTTCTTCAACTTGCCAGTCAATGAGCAGGCAATCTTTACCAGGTAGGTAGACTAGGCTATATGATTTTCAAGTAGATTTCCATTTGCAGGTTAAGATGTTTTGTCTAGATTGTCACATAATGACTTACATATTCTTGCCATGTCAGTTTTACACACTTTTTTTTTCCTCTGAGTTTCATTGAAAGTCTTCTGATGAATTTCTTCTCCTCAGTTTATGAAGAAGTAGACTGAGAGGTTAAATAACTCATACTTGAAAGCAAGGTTTCAAGGGTCAAATCCGTTGCTATTTTATTATACTCGGCTGTTAAAAACTGGTCTTTGGCATAAAGCAGGGGACAGTTGAAATTTTAAAGTCATAAATCTGGGGAAATGAACCTTTAATAAGGGAATTTTCAGCAAACTAATGAGAAAAATGATTTGGTGGAGCAGCCTTCTATACAGAGCTCTTCCAAAAAAAATTAATAATAAAATAACAACAGAAGAAGAAAAAAAACAACTATCAGTAGCCTCATCTATTAACCCTGTGTTGGAAGAGCTAGGAGCTTGTGGGGGCATTTGAGAGAATGTCTATCATTTGGTAGCTGAGTATTGAGATTCAGTTTTCTGATTACTAAATTATCACGGAGAGTAATGTACACATATAACTGCTAGCATAGCACCTGGCACATAATAGCAGCTTAATACATGATAATCACTCTTGGATAAAATAAGAGCAAAAGTGAATTGCCCTTTAAAAATTTTACAAGACATCACTAGAGGAATTGTATTTTTAGAACATTCAGCAACTGATTCTATGCTTTGAAGTTGCATAGAAAAAAAATCTTAACTTTTTTTACTAATATATTTAACACCTCCCTCCCTCTTTAACTCTGCTATTATCTTATCTGTCTAACCTCTACCTTCAGCACTCAGTCTCTGGTTGATTCTGCCCAGCATCTATTAATACACAGTAATACAATAAAAATAAACGAAGGATTTCATGAAATGTTTGAACATGGTATCGGAGATGAAGATACAGCAGTTAGATAAATTAAAAGTGATAAAGAGAAAAAGATGAAGTCAACGGGGATAATAACACAAAACATTCTAAATGGAAAGTATTAAGACATTAAAAGATCAAGACAAGACCTTGAAAAAAATAAATTAACCTCAAATACTTTTATAAAAATGAATCTCTTACAGTCACATTGACAAAGTCCAAATAAAGTAAAGAATTCCATTATGTCATACCATTATCATACATTTTTATAGAAAATAGCATTTAATTCATTATTCTTTGAAAAGACAGAACTTAATGACAATTATGAGATATTTTATTAAATATAAGATGAAATAAATTTATTGTCAATTTCAAAATGTAAAAATCCAATTTTTTTCATGATTTCATATGAAAATTTTCCTCCTCTTTTAAGCAATTTTACTGTGTTATTTGCCTTAATTAAGTTATCTTCTCATGTTAGAACTTCCTGTAAAACAGTACTGTTAAAGGCTGTTTCTCAAATTACAAGAGAAGACTGAAAGTGAAAGAAAAAAATCCATTAATTGGGGGGTAGTCAGTAATGGAAGGTTCATAGCCTGAGGAAGATCACAGCAGCAATGTCAGTAATACTGGCCCTTTCTACTGCTCACAGAAGGAATAAATAATGTTTAATGGCCTGGATGGTTTCCCCACTCAAGCTATCCCTTTGGGCCGTGGTTTCATTCAATCACTCAATAAATATTTATTGAGCATTCACAGAGTCAGGTAGGGTCTATTGGGGATACAGTAGTGTACAAAACAGATAAAAATCCTCGTGAAGCTTTTTTTCTAATAGGAGATATACCCAATAAAATCACATGTAAGTGAATTATCTAGCATGTTTTCTACTAGTAAGTAAGAAAAGAATAACGTAGGTTTGGGGTATATAAAATGTTAGGTGGGGCTATATTGGAAATCTTAAATATGAGCTAGGAAAATCCCCATGAGTGGTTATGAAGTCAACACTGGAAAGCAAAGGGGATAGCTATGAGAACCTCCGTGAGAAGGGCATTCCTAGCAGAGACAATAGTGAGTGAAAGGGCTTAGAAGTGAGAGGATGCTGAGGTGTTCGAAGAACTGGTAGAAGTGCAGAGTGGTTGGAGGCCAGCAAACATGCAGGGGAGGCATGGGAAATATGACTGGAGTTGTGATAGACAGTCAGTCTTCCTAAGCCTTGCTTCCTTTTCTGCCAAATAGGTATAATAAAGTTGTTCTCTGCCAAGGATGGCTGTAAGTATTCCATAAGATAATTCTTCCAAAGTACTTAGTACAATGACTGACACACAGTAACTGATTAATAAATTTATATTGTTTGACATTCATGGAAATGGAGCCAAAAAACTATGCATCCCTGATAGCACCAAACATTTGATTCATTTAACTGACTCCCATAACTCTGACTCCATGACTGCTAGGAAAGCCTGGGATTGTAATTTCACTTCCTCTATGGTTTTACCTACAGGAGGAATATGCCAGTATTACTAATGTAGGTGTTCCAAATTAGATGACATTAAGAGTTCCCTTTCTAAGCTGAAAAACTTTAACTTTGCCACTGAGACTAAGTAATAAGAGTTTGCCAATGAGAAACAGATCTACTTTTGTCCATTTTGCTTGAAAAATCTGTTTTATAATTTGAGATTACCAGACTCTACCATAGAAAATTCCTTGAAGTTATTCAACTCGGGGCAGCAGCCTTCAGGAAAGCAGGGCTGTCCAGGTACTATGATTGTATCACTTTTTATTTTTAAATATTGCAAACACCTGACCACCACTTACCATTACTCAATACTGTCACATACATCATCATATCTTATTCTCTACATTTTTTGTGAGTATGCAAAACAGCTGGTACCATCCTTATTTATTTGTTTATTTTATTTTATTTTATTTTATTTTTGAGACAGAGTCTTGCTCTGTTGCCCAGGCTGGAGTGCAGTGTTATGATCTTGGCTCACCACAACCTCCACCTCCCAGGTTCAAGCGATTCTCCTGACTCAGCCTCCGAGTAGGTGGGACTTCAGGCACGCGCCACCATGCCTGTCTAATTTTTATATTTTTAGTAGAGACAGGGTTTCACTATGTTGGCCAGGCTGGTCTCAAACTCCTGACCTCGTGATCCGTCCACCTCGGCCTCCCAAAGTGCTGGAATTACAGGTGTGAGCCACCACACCTTATTTTATAAATGCAGAACTAAGACATTGAGAGGTGAAAAGACAGACCTGGACCCTGAACCCAGTTATTCAAACCTCTCATCATGGAAGCAAACCTTGGGATCTAGTCCTAGAATCTCCATTATCAGTGATGTGATATTGAAATATCCTTCCTCTTTGGGTCTTTGTTTCCCCAGGGAGTTGAACTATAATATTTTGAATATAAGGACTCTAGAACTAAGATAATAGCGAAATGAGCAAATTAATAGAATATTTGATAAATAAATTAAACTAGACCAGGAATTAACAAAAGAATATATATGTTACAAATGAAAAGAAACACCTCTCCCATCTACCGTGTACAATTTATGTAAAAGAAGTTGAGGAAGTGGGAGAAACAGAGAAAGACAGGCCCTGAACATGTGTATGAAGCAAAGGGATCCCAGGCACATTGACAGCTACTACTTATGTTTCTATTTTTCCCTTGGAGTTATTTCATGGAAAAAAAAAAGTTAATTAAACTTATATTTCCCAAACAAAGGGAAATTCAAAAAAAGCCTTCCTGAACACTCCAAAAATATCTATTTCTTAAAATTTTTCAGTTTTTTTAATTGCATTTGTTCTGAAGTACATGATGAAGCAAATTATTGAATTAGTCACTACAATATTTCTGTCCTTTTAAGATCCCACCATGGAATCTACAATGGTCTGTTTTTGCTGGAGACTTCTATCTATTATCTCTTGGTTCACTGATCTGTGTGTTTATTGGACATGTTGAAGAGGTCTTGAGGGCTTTGGCAGTCCAAGTCCCCTAGAGATTTTCTACCCTGTCATCTTAAAAGGGAACTGTGCTGCATCATATGAAACCACCCTCACTAGTGCAGTGAAGTGGCAGGGAAAAGGAGGGCAGTCAACTCACCTCAAATGACAGAATATGTTTTGGAAAATTGCCTGTCTGGTTTTCTTAATTTTCCTAATGAATCTACACCAGCTATCTGAATACAACAGAGATTTCAAGAAGCTACAATTTTCCTGCTCCACACTACACTGATACTCCAGTTAAATGCATGCATTTAGGGCAAGATAATTGAAAGGATCACAAATTAATTGCACCTGTTTCAAGCTAACATAGAAAAACTCTTTAGGATCCTATGCATTAAAATGTCATTTCTCACAGGAATATACCAGTGCACATAACCTCAGATTAAGACTCTTTTATTGGGGTAGGGAAAACGGGAAAGAGGATCACTTATTCCTAAGAGAATACGTATTTCTATATCCATACATAAAACACTCTTGTATTTTGGTAGCAGGCTTTTAATTATATTCCAGGGAGAGAGTGACTTACATTGATTATTTACTAATAGAATACTGAGAGCATAAAAGAATGTGATTCCCTCCTCTATAAACAATGATAGCATTCATGTTTGTTTGTGCTGGCATTTGAAAATTTCCTCCCTTCTCTTCCCATGATACAAGATTCATTAAAGCATCATCTAAGGTTTTTTGACTTTGAAAAATCAACACAGATTTTAAATATTCGTATAACAAGTGGGCATATGGAAGCCATAGAAACTAAATTAGTCACATCACTGGATTCCACTTCTCTATCTATCTCTGTGGTTTACTGAGAATGTAACCTTAAATTTTGCCACAACTTGAATTCTTATACATTAATGTTTTTCCAAAAACTGAATATCCATAATGTTATTATACCTGGAATTCTTCATTGCTCCATTTGTTATTCAAATAAGTGAATGCTATTTTCCATTTACTTTCCTTTGAAATAGGTTACTAATAAGTTTAAGATAAATAGGAATAAGAATAGGTGCAACAATATAAAATACAGAAAATAAGTTTGAATAGCTTAATAATTTATTTATTGTAAAATAAATAAGGGAATAGCAAGTGTCACATGTAAATAGACAACATTAAAAGGAAAAAGAAATGACGTTTACTAAAGTGTATATGTAACCATAGAAGATATAAGCGATTAAGATATAAGGACCTAATCGAACCTCACTTACCTGCATCGAGAAAAAAAAAGTAACATGCAAGTTGGATGGAAAAAAAGACTGTATTTAAATCTTATTTTCAATAGGTTTAGAACTACAAAAGGGATAGATTCTGGTGTATGATACAGTCTCTATCATAGAAGGAACTCAAGTGAAATGAGCATTTTGTCGCCACCTCCTCTCCTCGTCTACAGTAAGAACATGATGTGTTCACTAGAAAGGCTACCAGAAAAAAAAAGTGATAGAATCACAGATTCACAGAATTTACAGTATTCATAAATTTAGAGTTGATGATGTTTATGCAGAGTACTTTCATAAAGGTGAGCTATGTAATTATTTATTTAAGGGAAGAAAGACACAAGTGAATATCATATTTCTTTTGGATTTTAATGTTTAACCTAATCTCTTTGGGACAGAAGAAGAGCAATTACATTTAATATCAATGCTTCCAAAATGTTTTTAAATTGAGCTCTATGATTACTTATTAGATCATCACTTTCTCTGAGAATAGCCATATGTAAAGCCTATTAAAAATACTCAGGAAATTAAACATATTTGTTTTGAATATTTGCGGTTTTTTAGGCATCTCTGAAATCACAAAACAAAGATGAGGATTCACTATTTTACTGCTTTGAGACATTTAAAAATATGTATACCATGGATAAAAAGCTAATTCTATTCTACTAGATTATCACTCCAAGAGTCATTGAAAATATGTTTGTAAGCCACTAGGTATTTACTTCTAGACTGTAGGCTTTCCTAGGGAGATCACTTTTGAAAGACTGAAATAAAATGATCCCTGATTTTTTTTGTCATTAAAAACCTCTGTTCACAAACTACAAGCCTTAAGGGAGTGAAATCAACCAAAGAAAAATATGTGCTACAAAGACAGCTGTAGCTCATGTTCTGGTCATTTAGACAAGATTTAATGTCACCATTGATTTACACCATGTATTGTAGTTAAGATAGTAATTGCTACATCACATTTGATAGTATCTCTAGTACCTCTGAAAGACGTTCTTTTTAAAACACCATTGTACACTAATAAGACATTGGGCCATTACTGGCTTTGTTGTATTTTACTTCTCAGACAGTATTTTTTAAAAGGAAATGCAAACACTTTTCCCCTAGAGTTTTAGCAATCCAAATCCTTCTACAGAATCATTCCATAGGCTCACTAAAATTTTACATTCTAAATATGGGTTTCAAGTATCAAGTGCAATGCCTGTCACTGGGGAATCAGGAATGAATAACACCAACTCTGCCCTTAAAGAGATTTTAGTTTTTGTGACTGTAAGCAACCACGTGGTTACATTATAATGTGAAAATAACATAAGTGCAGTGTGTTACGGAAGAATGAATGAGAACATCAGAAAGAGTTATGAAGGTATCACAGTGGCTTCTGAAAGGGTTTGTTGTTGATAGGGGTTAGCTAAGAGAGAAGGGGAGTGAAAAATATTTTTGAAAGATTAAAGGGATACTCAAAAGTGCAGAGGGAAAAAAAGGAGCGTGGTCATTTAAGCAATCAAAAGTAGTTCGATGTTGCTGGAGCCTATAACATGATGTAGAAGTGTCATTAGAGGAAGACAGACAGTAAAGAGGGACCCAGATCTTAAAGGGTCTGGACTTTATATTGAGGGTCATGGGTGACTACTAAAGGGTTTTATATCAGTCACTTCTTCTATACCACTGCAGATCTGTCTGGACTGACTTATCTCTGGGACCTCCTGCCATTTTTTCTCTCCAACCAAGCTACTGCTGCAGAGATCAACTTTGTGTGGGTTCAGAACAATTTTACACAGGGACACGCGAACAACTGTATTCATGTTTGAAACAAACCATGAAGTTTCAAGCCTTCACTGAGTGCTTTTTGCCTCACACTCCATGGCTTCCCTTTTGTAATTGAAGCACGACATGTCACAGGAAATGATTGTTGCCTCTGAAGTGCAACCAAGAATGTGGGGAAGGTTAGGCCCATCCTTAGAGGACAAGAGTACAAATGGATGCGTCATTCCACACATCTAAAGGTACTAAATACTAAGAACTGAAAATTAACCTAACAAGCTCTTAAATATGTTCCATCATCCTACCTTAATAACAATGTGAAGGACAATTTGAAATAAAAATGTTCAGACTCTTTGTTGTTTTGTACATGTATCAGTTACCTATTGCTTTGTAACAAATTAGTTCAAAATTTGGAAATGTGTCAAAGAATTTCTAGATTTCTGAATTTTAAGCCACCACAGCATAAAAACATATTACACTGTCCAGGGCTTATGAGCCCACTTGCATTCCCTCTCTACCATTGATTAGCTCAGCAGCTTTGCACTGTGAGTGGCCTTATATGTACCTGTATGAACACTCAAACCATACATTCAAGCTGGGTCCATGCACCACACCAATAGCTGCTTCTTGGCTAATTCTCAGGCTTGGAGGTACAGAAACCAATTTTTTAGTCTGTCATGGGAGGGTAGACTAAGGAAAGAGACGTGCAAGCTGAAGAAGAATTGTCGTTGCAGCTATTTGGGCAGTGAATTCCAGGTACCCAGAGTGTGTGTGGTCAGAAAAGGAGGGCATGCATTCTGACCGGGCATGTATTTTGTATAGACAATCCCCCAGGTGAATGAACTCTTCAATTTGTGGGCGAAGGCCCAGCCAGAGAAGGAAGTAAATGGTGTGGAACTCTACAAAATGTAGGAGCCAAACAACAGCCCCTTATATCTAAAAACAGTACTGGGACAAACTTTGACTAGTGAAATATAGAAGGTGGAAGATATTCTCCTCCCTTATGTCCCCCAAGAAGAATGGCTGTGAAACCCTGTAATTAATACAGCTTCTGAAATCCATGAACTTAAGCAGACAGCTGCTCTTGATACTAAGTGGTAGCCAGCTTTCACCTTTATATTGGCTCTCCTTTCTTCCCTCACTTCACTTTTTGCCTTTTTCCTCACTTGAGCTTTCTATAGTTACATTCCTTAATAAAACTATAGCAGATTATTTTTTTTGTCTCACATTTTGCTTTCTGAGACCCCAAGTTTAAACAAGTTTTCAGCAGAGGAATAACATAATGAGATTTTTTTCCTGATAGATAAATGCATTCATTCATCTATTTAACAAATACTTCCTGAGTACCTTGAATCAAAGGAATGTGCAAAGTGGTGAGGATAAATAAATAAGACAGATACGGCCCTATCTTCATGAAGAACATAAACTGGTGGGGAGGGAGTGCAGGGTGGCAGAGAGCTTAACTGGCAGTTCCTATAGAATGCAGTGCGGGATGCAGTGGAAAAGGGTAAGACTCTATTGGAAACCATAAAAGGGATACCTAACCCATTCTTCTAAGCTGATGGCAAGTTTCCCAGAGGAAAAAAAGACTCTAGATTGCAAAAGCCTGGGAATCAGTGACTGTATTCTTCCATCACCCACATTCATTCCCACTCCTTCCTCCTTTTCCATCTATATTTACCTTTTGTTACATCTTCCAATATGCCAAGCTCTCTCTCACCTATATTATTTCTTTGATCTGAAATAGTTTGCATCACTTCCCTCTCCTACTGCTTAATTCCAATTCTTTTATTCTTTACAGTGCTGATAGAAAGTTCTAGAAAAATGAACAAAGCCCATGCCACAGATGAATTTACGTGCCAGTGTAAGGTGTTTGAACTTCATCCAAAAGAGCAAATAAAATTGTAATATTAGATTAGCACTTTGGGAAGAGTTTTCTGGCTACAGTATAGAGAAATGGAATGAAGTAAGCCCAGTAGGCAGAGAAAGCAGCTAAGAAGTTCCAGAAATAAGACAGGAGAGAGATTATGACAGTTTAGTTGAGGGTTTGGGCAGTAAGAAAACAAGAATTAGAGGCATCTGAGAGCATTTTGATAGGAAGAATAGGAAAAATAACGAAAAGAAAGCGAAGAGCAAAGAAAAGTTTCAAAGTCATACCCAGTTTGTACCTTAGGAACCTGGATAGGTGTTAGGCAATGCAATGGGGTTTGCATTGCCACTTAAAATATTCTGTTTACTAAGTCTGGCAACCCCAACTGAGTTAGGGAACACAGAGAAAGAATGTTTCTGAGAATTATGGAAAGGAGTTAGAAACATTTCCGCCACCATTCAAACATGCAAGGATCACTTAGGAACTAAATTCAGGTTAGAAAATTTTGAAAAATTGAGGGTGCTAATCACTCATTTCTCTAAGTTTGAGCAAACTGAGGATAAAAAGGAGCCAAAAGAAGATTTAAGTATGACTTATGATTAATTTATGAATAGTATAGTACAGTACACAGTAACTTCAAAGGAATAGGCTCCCCAGAAAAAGCAGTTAAATCCAGAAGCAAAAGGGAAAAAGAAAACAGAGTTTTTATTCTATTTCTCCCCTTCTGGCCATTCTTCCTACCTGCTCCACCTGTAGACCTTAAAACCCTGTCACAGAGAATTAGATCTACACAGAAGATATTTAGCTATCAAATGACAGGGAGAATGTCTCCTATTGCTGGTATGATCAACAGAGAGAAAGAAAGACAGAAACACAGACACATAGTATCTCTATCTGTAACCAGAGTTCTATATAAAAAGATCATTACAGTTGTTATGTAGATAATACTTTAAGGAGAAAAAAATTCTGGAAACAGTTTTTGTAGTGGATAAGATAGTGTTCAAACAGAAATTAATAGTGGAAATAGAAAGTATTAGAATTGATAGGGGTGGGATTGTCAGGACTTAACAAGTGGGTTTTAGGACAGAGAAGTGTTAACTGTAGTGTCAAGCCCGAGTTGTAGAAGGGACAGCCAAATGACAACATGTGATTGTGAACATGCTAGTGTGTGTGAATGCGTGGATATTCTGGAGGTGTATGTGTGGATAGATAGATAGATAGTCTGGAGGTCAAAGGAGTGATCAAGATAGATCAGAAGAAATATCTGGGAAGATAGCAAACATTGTAGAATAGTTGAATCAAATAGCGTATTTAGCCCTATTTCATCATGATCTACTCTAGAAGCTATTAAAATGAAAACTTGATTTCTTACCCTCCAATAAAGGTGTGAATGAGCGTGTGCCACAGTTATGGCCAGTAAGACATAAGGAAAATTCTAATGTGACTCCTCTTCCTTTTCCTCCTTTTATAAAGTTCAGAACTTAGACCTAAAGCCTGAACTCTAAAATGTAAACCTGAGGACAAAAATACTAGATGCTGTGGATGACAGACAAGAAAGATAGAAAGGGAAACATTGAGATGGTGGCATAAGCCCTGCCCTGTCTCCCTCCTAGACCTTACATTATATAATAATAATAAGTATAATGACAACAGCAGCATATCCTCTCTTACTTAAGCCACAGTAGCAAAAGTGTTTGTTGGTTAGTTTGTTTGTAACTGAATATATTCTTGACTAATATAGAGAATCATTAGAAAGAGATGATGATGGAAGCACTAGGAGTAGATGAAATTATCCTGCAAGAGTTATAGAGTAAGATAAGAAGAGGTTCTAAGGCAGAATCAATCATGTAGGAACTAATATTCAAGAGAGAAGAGTCTAAAATAAAAATAGTATTAAGAAGTAAACAGACAAGTAAGATCAAGTTGGTAGAATGTGCCACCACTGAATCTCAGGAGGAAAGATAGCATTATTCAAAACAGAGAGGATTGTATAGAGTTAAATGGTGCAGAGAGCTAAAGAAAAAAATGTAAACAGTAATTTACACTTAGCAACTAGTATTCCACTGGTGACCTTGGAAAGAGCAGTTTTGGTGAAATTTAGGCAGTGGAAGCCATTTCACAGCAGGTAAAAAAGTTGAACAAAAGGTGAAGAAATGGAGAAAAAAGTGTACACATCTCTTACAAAGGTTTTCCTGTAAAGAGGAGAAGGAAGTCAATAGCTGTTGGGCAATGTAGAGTTGTTGAAGATTTTAAAAAGTACTTTTATTATTGGTGGTGGGGTTGCTTACTGATTATTTGAAGGTGTCTCGGTGTTAATAGAAATAATATCCAACCAGGTGCACTGACTTATGCCAGTAATCCCAACCCTTTGGGAGACCAAGGCAGGAGGATCACTTGAGCCCAGGAGTTTGAGGCTGCAGTGAGCTATGATGGCATCATTGCATTCCAGCCTGGGTAACAGAGCAAGATGCTCTCCTCTAACAAAAAAAAAATATGATATCATATTCAGTGGACAAAGGTCTCAAAAAGGCAGCAGCATGCCAATTACAAGCAGATGAGATACTTGTTCTATTAAAAAAAAAGGAAAGAGGGTGTATAGAAGCATGACCAGGAATTAGCATAATTTTGTGTATGAAGTATTACTTTGTATTAAAAAAAAATGAGAAGACTAAAAGAAATGTCTTCATAGCAGTCCTGAGAAAACGTTGCGGTTGTCCAGAGATTTAGCAAACCTCTACTCTGCTTTCTGTTTACAGTTATTTGGGATTTTCTTACGTGATTTTTCTTAAGTTATAAACTAGAAGATTTGAGCTATTTCTGGGCTGTTTAGGGACTACATGCACAAATAGTAAGTGAAATTATTCCCCAGAAGTGATTACTAATTTATCAATTGTATATCACAAATTTTTTTAAGGTACCTAATTTTTTGTTGTTATTTTTTCTCAGATTGACTTCTGAATATGAACAGATTCACATTAAGCATTCATAAATAATCAATATTTGGCTTTGTGTAAACTTGATATAGGTTATTTGGCACCGTATAGACAAAACTGACTAATTATTTTGCCTTGGATGTTTTATTATCATAGAAAGACAGCCCAAGAAAATTCTCTTTCCAAATTTTGGTTTCTGCCAACATTTTCTTCTAATTACTAATATGCATAATAAAGTAAAAAAGTAATTCTAGCCCAGTAACACTGTTACTCCTTTTGTCAAACCAAGTTATTTTAGGAATAATTGCTGTTCTGACTACTGTTGTAGCTTTCCTTTAACCCCCTGCAGTGACCTCTCTAGCTTCTAACTTCTCCAGCATTACCAAAATGTATTATCTTTCAATGAGAAAAGCATTGATTTGTGAACACATAGCCAATCTAAGTTTGTTCGAAAGCTAGGCAGTGGGCAGCCTTTATTTTCACTTCATTACACGCCCAGCATTTTATCAATGCAGCCACATCAAGACCTACAAATTATGTGTCAAGAAGGCGGATCCACAGGATATGCCTTCCTGAATTTTTTTTTTTCCTTCTACTTCTGTTGCTTTCGAAATTCACAGATTGGAAGTAAACAACACATGGGTACCCTATATGTAAAAATTCGTCACTCTTTCCATAAAGAAGCGAAAGTGATTGAGCACTTAAATCCACTTTTGAAGATTTTAAGCACTTTCTAAGAGTATTAGAATATGCTTCAGCATTTCATCATGTGCAGGGAGCCTAAATTGTAGATAGTAATCATTTTATTAGCTTTTTAAAGGATTTGTATTACATAGAAAATCAGCAAAGTTTTATTCACATATTGGTTTTGTATGTCAAAAAGATATTCATTTACATCTCTGCTCTTATCAGAGATTTTTAAGTATTCTTAAACAAGAATAAATTTAAAATAGTTTATGTGTCTGATTTGGTGCTTAGAAAATTCTATTTTTTAATAGGTATGTACTGTTTCCCCTTTTACTACTTCTCACTAGTGCTATTTTTTCTACTTTGCCATATTACCTGCTTACCAATAAATATGCCAAAAAATTGAGATTCTTCATCTGAATCAGTCAAAGGAAATTATTTAGTTCATCTATTAACATTTATTTTTTAAAAACGTAACCGGGTTTTATAATAACAACTTTTACAAGAAAGACGAGTTTCCATATACCATTATGGCTCATATTTAAGACCACAGCAGTTCACTGATTTTTCACTCTACATTATCCTTGAAAAAGCATTTTGCAGCATCAAAGTAATGGATCGAATTAATGGTCAAACCCTCCGTTTGTGGGTCAGGATTTTTTTTAAATCAAAAAATATTCACTATAGCATATGTATTTGAACTAGCAGGTTGTTTATGGTGCTTCTGTTTAATTCTCATAAGAAAATAACACTACTTTTCTTTTGTAGAGGTTGCTATTCTTTAAAATTCTCATTTGGTGGCAATCTGAAAATAAAAATACTAAGAACTAAAGATCTGTATCAACCTAAATTTGGGACACAATGGCCCCTTCCCTCTAATCTCTTTATTTGAGTCACTTTGCAAAGCAAATAAAGACCAAGCTCATTCTCTATGTGCCTTTTTGGTCTCAGTGCACATGGGGAGATACCACAGAGCTTTCAATCAATAGCCTCCCAAATTCCTCAATTACTTTATTCTCAAGGGTCTGTAAAAGAGGTGAAAGGGCTTTTGGTCTCCAGCCCACAAGTATGACGGGCAACATCTGTTGCAGTTTTGGCTGAGCTTGCTCTTTATCAATTGTCCATTTAAATTATACAAAAAGACAATGATGCAAACAAAATAATGCAAGTGAATTAGCCATTTTGCTAAATTTTAAATTTTTCCCCAGGAAAATGCACATCAGTGAAATAACCTACATAGACTGTTTGTTTTTAACCTTACATCATTATAGTACTATATGTAAGCAACGAATATGAATTAAACCTGTCACTGTAGTGCATCAAGAGATGCTTTTAAATTGCATGTTATGTCAATGTTTTGATGCATATCTAAAGGAAGCACATACCACATGAAAATATGCTCACTTCTCAGAGAATAGAAATGGCGTATTACCAATTTTTTCATTTGGAAGAAAAATAAAACAATTTACTTCTCTTTTTAAATAGCGAGGAAAACCTAAGTAACATTTTTCTCAGATCAAAACAGGTAAAGACCCTTGTAAATCTTGCTTCTGCTATAAGAACTTGCAATAATCAGATGTAAGATATTTTGGGGGATTCTACATTATTATGACATTTGTATGAACTTTACAATTTTACTCAGTTATTTAAATGCATTAATAAGCCAATGTACTTTGCTGTTGTTGTTTTTGGAGGGAGATGTTGTTGTTCCATAGTGTGTTTTATGAAAAAGCATGTCATCTGCAATGTTCTATAATCTTGCTATCACAGTAACTAAATGAGACACATAGTTTAATCTACATTGAAGTTTTATTCATTACTATTTATAAATTACTATTTATACTATTTATTCATAAATATCAGTGAGGTTTTATATATCATTACATAAAATCATTTATTTCAGGAAAGCATATAGAAATGTTTGTACTTATCATACTCATAACCCACTAGCTATCTTCTTTTAAAATTATGCAATATTCTCCCTAAGAGAGCTAACAGTCAGTCTCCTCCCCAGTCTTTGCTCTGTGAATGAAAGAGCAGATAAATGTTTCTCCCTAACCGTTGCCACATCCTATTGTCATATAATAGAACCCTGAGTGACTCAATGAGTTACTTCCTTACCAAAGCAACCAATTACATCACCAATGTCCCTACAGAAACACTGGAAAAGAGCCTTAAAAAGATGGAGCTGCTAAATATTTAATTCTGACCAATAGCTGCACTAAGGCAAGACAATTAGTGAATTTTATTAGTCAGGGTTCAATCTACATGATTATTTTTAAAGATAAATCTTTATGAAAGTCTAACTTATGTGTTCATTACAGAGTCAGGGTATGGAAGTAGCAGCTAGACATCTTCTGTGAAATGCAAGGCTGTGAAATTCTAAAACTCCTGTATAGGTCAGCCACATTTTTAATTTTAGAGTCTGTACCTCAATGAAATACAGACATTTTAATAAATAAAATGGTTTAAGTCAATAACAAAAGCATAAATTGCATCATCACTTATGAACATCCTTATTATTTTTTTCCTAATTTAGACACTTATTGATGATTTGGCCTTTGTAGATAATGTTCTATTATTCTAATCTGGTATATTATCTTTTAATAAACTAAATGAATGGGTTATTTTTATGTTCACTAATCTTTAATATTAACATTTTGGGTAAATATATCATTCCAACACACTGATAAATATAAAGACAGAACTATAAAGAAAGAATATCTTTAGTATAGCAAATAAAAAGAAACGAATCCTTCTCACCGCATCTTTTTCACAAAAATAGAATTGTTAAGACTTTTTACTAAGCTGACAGCACTGTTCTACTACAAACTGTATTTCCTAGACTAGTGGATATGGGTTATGGCAAATATATATAGAGAAACAACATGTGAATACCAGTAGAGAGATTATCTAAACTATATATTCATCAATTTTTTTTCATGGTTTCAGTGTCTTAGGATCACAACTATTATAACTGCATGGAAACCTGATGATAGACTGTAAACAAGTTTATTAATCTAATAGAAATTTCGCTCTGGCTGTCTTATAACCCCATAGGGATAAGGAGTTTCCTTTTGAAAATAATTTCTTTTGTGAATCAAAAGATTCCACCTGGAATCAAAAGATTGTCCTAGTGACTGCTGAAGAGGATGATGTGAGTTGAATCAAAAAGTAAGGAAAAGTATGAGGGAAGGATAGCAAGTATGAAAAAGCTTTTCGCAGTATAAGGAGCTCTTGCTCCTAGGAGAAGACATTGCCCTAGACAACAGATGACTTATGCCCAAGACTTGATCTAAGTGAGGGTTGAAGCTCACGGAGTCAGAATCAGACACTGTTAAACTAAAGATGGGCTTTTCAAAATACAGAGCCATATTTTAAAAGATGATTTATCTTGTGAAAAATAAATATTAAATTATGAGATTTATTTTTATTTCTCAAAAAATGAAGCTTTTTGGGAAAAGCATTCTTATGAGCCTCTTGACCAATAAATAGTTTATTTTGCTGAGAAACTTAAAAAACTTAAGATTCTTCTTCACTGCATCATTTAAATTGCAGGGCCAAAAATAAAATGATTCATTTTCACATGTTTGAGACAGATAGCTAAAAGCTCTACTAAACATAAGAAAATATAATATATTTGAATTATATTCACTGTCAGCGGAATGTTGTCTGGAAGTTTCATATGTTAAATATGAGTTTAATTTGAGCATTTCCATTTTTCCAATTTAGGTTGAGATAAGTGTTCTTATGACAACTTATGTTAATAAAGCTAAACCCCAGAGAGTTTATTCAATGAACCAAGGAGCCATGAATATCTCCATGAGGAAGATGATATCATAAATGACATTGATTACTATTGCTTCCTCTTATGTCTAGAATTTTACTGGTTACTTGTCTAAGTGCATAATAATTTTTAGCATTCCTGAATTATTTATTATATGAGTGTTGACTTCTACAGGTACCTAATATGAGATATTGCACGGAATTTTGCAGCAGTACTCTGAAATCACATTGAAAATTGATACATATATGCTGATCTACATGGCTTCTAATACGTTATCTCTTGTTGCCTCTGAACATTCCATTTCTGTAAGCAATATAATACACTCAGAAGCCATAAAAGGAGCGGCAGCTGCACAGTGGAGAATCAGCCCATTTAAAGACTAGTCTTACAATCAAGGCTGTATATCTTCAAAATCAACCACAGAGATTTTAGACAAAACTGCAGTTCTGATGCCAAGTGCATTTGAGCAACTTGACAATAAATGTAAGCCATGTGATTTTGCCAAGCAATAATATAATTTAACAATAAAAACCCCAGTTGCTTTAAAGTAGAAGAGACTTTAATATTTTTAAGAATGATTTTAGACATAAAAAGGGGTATTTGAAATTTTAGACAAGTAGGTGATACGCAGGGGGAGGGCACTTGAATCTATCAATGTGCAGGTCCTTAAACTTGACTTCGCATCTATATTTTCTCTCCATCCCACCCTAGAAGCATTCTATTTCTCTTTTACAAACCTAATAAGCCTATCTTGGATCAGAAAAGAGACACACACTTTCCATTAAGAGAAAAAAAAAATGAGAGACAGAAAAATAATTTTCAACAAGTTTTCTCCTTTTCTGCTCTAGCTTCTGAAAAATAGCTTTTCTTTGTTACATGCTTTTTCCTCTATGGAATAGTAATCTTGAGCCACTTTCAGATTTGGGGGTTAGGATAAAACCAATGTTTCCTCCCAAGAACAAAGCCAGCAGCTGATTTTCCTTGAAGCTTGATGACGGTGATTTAGGCTCCCTATCTTCGAAGAGCAAGGTAGAATACGACAGCTTCTAGTAGCCCACTGGAATTCCCTGAGCTTTCATCTTTGCCTTAGTTTCTCTAAGAGCCACTCTTATTTACTGTTCCTGCCTGTACTGAGAAACTGTGTTTAGGGAGTTTGGCCTCCTTGTTTATTCAGGCAGAGCTAACAAAAAGAAGACCATTTTGTGGATTTTTACAATTTTTAGACATCTAGCTGTGGATATTTGAGTTGAAACACTAAATATGTGTGCTTGCTTTGCACAGTGCAAATAAAAACTGCTTTTCCAAATTGTCATTAAAACACCAGTATTTTCTCTCTATATATATCTTTTTTTTTATTATAGTTTAAGTTCTGGGATACATATGCAGAACGTGCAATTTTGTTACGTAGGTGTACATGTGCCATGGTGGTTTGCTTCACCCATCAACCCATCATCTACATTAGGTATTTCTCCTAGTGCTATCCCTCCCCTTTCCCCCCACCCCCCGACAGGCCCCGGTGTGTGATGTTCCCCTCCCTGTGTCCATGTGTTCTCATTGTTCAACTCCCACTTTTAACACCAGTATTTTCTACTGAACTGTATTCTTCCTAAAATATGGACAGTTTATCTTTTGAGAGTTGATGGCTGCTTTTATTTGGTAAAAATCATTTCCTTTGTTCCATTTCCTTCTGTCACATTATTCAAGGTAATAAATACTCTATGGCAGAAACTGCTCCTAGGGGAAGTCTGTTTAAACCCAATTGGGGAAATGCTGAACTTTATATATTCAAAAGCTGTCTGTCATCCAACATTGTACTGTCTCGACTGATTCCTGTGAATTACATATTTCTTTATACCTAAAAAAACACCAGGCAAAAATCTACTTTAGATCACTCACATGTCATGTATTGGCAAATTTGAGCATTTTGTCAAACTTTGATATGTTTTTAAATAACAGACTTATGAAATTGTACAATTTCACACTTTCTAAATTTCCTTAGTTTGCAGCCTTTCTGGTCATTAACCATTTCTTGCTGACCTTTATGTTTTTACCTTGAGTGGAAATGGACAGTGAACTGAAAAATCTATGATTTCCACGAGGGAAATAAATTAATTAACTGCACACATAGGAGTGAAGAACTCTTGGATTATTAAAGGAGTTCTTCTCCTCTACACCCCATTAGAATCAGTACTTTTGATTACGGGGTGGTGAATAACACATTCTACCAATTAAAGGAAGTATAAAACCTAATACTTGGCTGTGATAATCAGAACACCTGTTAATAAAAAATATATACATTTTTTAGAGTTGTATAAAGATTAAAAGTAAAAGCAAATAAATGTCATTGACAGGAACCCTTTACTCTATGAATTAGCTGCTTACTATCTCCCTCAGCCTTGGTTTTACAAAATTTTGAAAATTATAAGAATGAAATTAAGCATAAGAGAGCAACCACTACTGGAAGCAAAGCCCAGGATTGAGGATCTACTAAACATGCGCAATTATGGAGGGATCTTATTCCAATGTTACAATGTTAATGTGAAGCTGCTATTTATGGAAGGGAAATTCACTGTATATCAATTTAGAATTTTAAAGCTAGTAGAAAACCTCAATGGTCATCTAGTCTGACTGTGTTAAATCTCCTGTTTTACACAACCATATAAAAATAGGCAGAATCTTATACTTTCTTAAATAGCAGAATATGTTACATTATTCTTAGGTTCATTACTTACTAAAAATTATTTTCAATTTAAACATAATGGCTTTAATGCTTTATTAAAATAAACAAAACATTTTTTGACATTAAGAAAACCAAAATTGATTGTTTCGTCAAGAATGAGATATTCACCTGAAGTAATGAACAAGTATGACTCCTAAAGAAAATATCTAAAAATTATTAAGTAATAAGGGTAATGTCCTTTTATCCTAAAACACATAGTAGGCCGGGCACAGTGGCTCACGCAGGTAATCCCAGCACTTTGGGAGGCCAAGGCGGGCAGATCACGAGGTCAGGAAATCGAGACCATCCTGGATAACACAGTGAAACCCTGTCTATACTAAAAATACAAAAAATTAGCTGGGCGTGGTGGCGGGCACCTGTAGCCCCAGCTACTCAGGAGGTTGACGGAGCAGAATAGCGTGAACCCGGGAGGCGGAGCTTGCAGTGAGCCAAGATCGCGCCACTGCACTCCAGCCTGGGAAACACAGCAAGACTCCTTCTCGAAAAAAAAATATATATAATAAAAACTAAATAATTTTACAGTATGATACTTACATATTTGTAGACAGATAAATGATTAATGGAACAGTAAAAAAATGCAGAAATAGGTTTTATAGAATATAATATACCAAAAAGAAGAAGTTAAAGCATTAAAATTTATTATAAGAAAATATTTTTAATACTTGGGGTCAGTGATATAATTATATGAAATAAAAAAGGCAACTACTTCATGCATAAAATTACTACCTCATACATAAAGTTAAATTACAAGTGGATTAGTGAATTTAAAATTAAACTATTGTTCCAGTTATACTTCCTGTATAACAAATCACTCCTAAATTTAGAGATATAAAACTCCTCAATATTCAGGACCTCATCAGAAGGCTGAACAGGTGGTGGTGTTTGGGGGCTAGAATCATCTGGAGGTCTCCATTGATTAGTCTGACTCTTGACTGGGAATTCAGTTGATGCTTCCCATCAGGGCCACTTTGCGTGGTCTCTCCACAGGTCCTGGGTTTCCTCACAGCATGGAAGCCTCAGGGTAGTTGGACTTTTTACATGGAGCCTCAGGACTAAACATCAAGTGATTAGGAAGATAAGGCAGAACTTCTGTTAACTTCTAAGACATAGTCTCAGAAGTCATATATGTTTATTTCTTCACTTTCTATTTTGAAGTAGTTTCTCTGCCCAAATTTACCAGAAAGGGCTATAGACCACTCAATTTGATGGAAGGTTGGCAAAGTCATATTGCAAAGAGCATGTGGGATGAGAAATACTGTTATGGACATCTTTGGAAAAATACATCCTGATATAATATCAAACAGTAAGTAAAAGAGGAAGTGGAAATGAAAAGAGATATTTTTCCAACTTTTATACTGTTAAAAACAGTGGAAAAACTAAAGCTGAGCATAGGCATATTCTAGGATCCAGTAATTTTCCTGCTAGGATGTACTCAAGAGAAATACATTTACTGAAAAATATGTTCCTAGAAACTCTATTGATAATAGCCCCAACTGGAAAATACTCCAATACTCAACAGCAGTTGAATAGATACCTAAATTGGATAGTCATACTTTGGAATATCATACAGTAATGAAACTAAATGATATACAGCTATAATCAATAGTATAAATTAATGAAATAAATATCTTGAGCAAAGGAAATCAGACATAAAAGTGTATCTATTGTTTGATACTATTTATCTAAACACAACAGGATGAATTAATACATTCTGTTATAAATCAAAATAACAATTACCCCATCCAAAGATGAGGATTTATGACTGGAGGAAAGCAAGAAGACCTCTGGGAGTACTACATGATGTTTTGTTTCTTGAGCTAAATGCTGATTATATTTTCAGTTTGTAAAAATTCAATGGCTTACACATTTGTAACATATGTGCTCTTCTATATGTATATTATGTTTCATCAAAATTTACATGAAAATGTGGAAGACAGTAAAAATTTCAAAAATATAACTATTAAATGTTTAAGCTTCTCAATATAAAAATTAATTAAAATAAGTCAAAATAAAATTGGAATAAATGTTTATAATATATATTAAAAAGTTCACTATGTAATATAAAGGATATATACAACTACATAAGAAAATCATTAATATCTCAATAGATGAAAAATTGACAACTTTAAGTTATTCAAAAAGCATACAAACATTTGGAAAAAGAATAAACAAACATTTGGGAAAATTTCTAAACAAACATAATCAAAGAAATGAAAAATAAAGGGAAGAATAACCGAAGTGCCCAAGAATAGTGTATTGAGCATTGATTAGTAAGTAAATGAATCTATTCAATGGATATGTTGTGTTGAGAGAACAGCTTACACCTGAGCCCACGAATTTGCCTCAGCCAATAAATATCTTTTCACTGTTACTTCCACCCCCATTTTCCTTGAAGGAATTAATTTTACCTGTTTCTCTTTGCCTCCTCCATGCCCCAGCTCTTCCCTGTTCTTAAGCCCTCCTCCATTTTCACCTTCGTGGATCTGCAAAAGAAAGCATGTTCTTACCCCCTACACAGAAAAAGGTAGCTTCCTTTTCTCCTTTACTTTCTCTACATATGTGCTATATGCCTTCATTTTTTTCTTGCTTTCAATTAATTAAGTCGCTGGGGCAGAATTGACCTTCTGCCTCACTCTCCATCCAACTTGCAATTTGGTTAGGCATTTGTAAGTTATAAATGCAACTACGCGCTAAGTGAGCCCAAGCAAACAGATTCAATTATCTTGTTCTCGCTCAGTAGTCATGCATAAACGTGCAGTTTCCATGTGTTTCTTTGTTAGATTTAGGGTATGAGCCTATTTGTCATTTTGCCCTCAGATCTTTTCCTCACTCCTTCACTACAAATTGTGTTTCTCAGACTTCTGTGCTCCTTGATTCCCATGTTGGTTTGGTCCATAGGAAGCACTGAAAGGAAAATTGGAAAAAAAATAAATAAATAAAGAGAGGAGAAGCATGGAATTACTTTCTTTATCCACATTCCTTGTCTGCTTCACTTGGCATCTCTGACATGTTTTTCATAGATACAGCTCCAGCCTGGTGTCCTTATTACTAGGTCTTAGATCAGGTCTTAGAGAATCTTCCTTTCACCCTTCTTCTTTAGGGGTGAAAGAGGCTTCTGTTAGTCTCTGAGTAACGGGCAGAGGCTGTAAGAGGGTGGAGGGTTCAAAAGAAGATAGGAAGATGAGGGAAAGTTTGGAACTTCCTAGAGACTAACTGAATGGTTATGTCCAAAATGCTGGTAGAATGCACGATGAAGTCCAGGCTGATGATGTCTCAGAAGAAAATGAAAAACTTATTGGGAACTGAAGGAAAGGTCATTTTTGTTATTCCTTAGAAAAGAGCTTGGCTGCATTGTGCCCCTGTTGTAGGGGTCTGTGGAACTTTGAACATGGAGAATGATAATATAGGGTATCTGACAGAAGAAATTTCTAAGAAGTAAAGCATTTAAGATGTTATCTGGCTATTTCTAATAATCTACACTCACACACATGAGCAAAGAAATGACCAGAAGTTGGAACTTATATTTAAAAGGAAAGCAGAACATAAAAGATTAAAAAATTTGCAGCCTGGACATGTGGTAGAAAAGAAAAGACCATTTTCAGGGAAGGAATTCAAGCACGTTGCAAAAATTTACGTAAGTTATCAGCCAAATGCTGATAATCAAGACAACGGAGAAAAGGACTGGAAAGCATTTCAGAGATCTTCACAGTAGCCCCTCCCATGACCAGCCTGGAGGCCAAGGAGGACTGAATGGCTTTGTGAGACAAGCCCAGGGCTTCCATTGCCCTGCACAGTATGGGGACATTGCTCCCTGATCCTGACCACTCTAGCACCAGTCATGGCTCAAAGGGACCCAGGTACATCTCAAGTTGCTGTTTCAGAGAATGCAAGCCATAAGCCTTGGCAGCTTCCAAACCCAGAGGTGTTAAGCCTCTGGGTGTGAAAAATGAAAGAGTTGAGGCTGCGAGCCTCTGTCTAGATTTCACAGGTTGTATGGAAAATCCTGAATGTCCAGGCAGACGCCTGCTGCAGTAGCTGAGCCCTCATGGAGAACCTCTAGTAGGGCAGTGCAGATGGGAAATGTGGAGATCCCCCACACAGAGTTCTCCAAGGGACACTGCCTAGTGGAGCTGTGAGAAGAGCGCCACCATTTTCCAGATCCCAGAATGGTAGATCCACTAACAGCTTGCATCCTGCACCTGAAAAAGCCACAGGCATTCAATACCAGGCCTTCAGGGTAGCCACAGTGGCTGAACCTTATGAAGCCACAGGGGCAGAGCTGCTGAAGACCTTGGGAGCTCACTCCTCACACCAGTGTGCCCTGGATGTGGGACATGGAGTCAAATGAGATTATTTTTAAGCTTTAAAATTTAATGACTGCCCTGCTGGTTTTCCAACTTGCATGGGGCCTGTAACCTCTTTCTTTTGGCAGATTTCTCCCTTTTGGAATAAGAAAGTTTACCCAATGTTTGTATCCCCCATTGTATCTTGGAAGTGACTAATTTGCTTTTTATTTCACAGCCATTTTATTTCATATGTGGAAAGGACTAACCTTGTCTCAAGTGAGATTTTGGACTTTGGACTTCTGAGTTAATTCTGGAATGAGTTAAGACTTTTGGGATTGTTGGGAAAGCACGATTGTATTTTGCAATGTGAGAAGGACATGAGAGTTGGGGGTCAGGGGCAGAATAATGTGGTTTGGATCTGTGTCCCCACCAAATATTATGTCAAATTGTAGTCCCCAATGTTGAAGGTGGGGCCTAGTGGGAGGTGATTGGATCATGAGGTGGATTTCTCATGAATGGTTTAGTACCAACCCCTTGGTGCTATTCTCACAATAGTTAGTGAGTTATGAGATCTGGTTGTTTAAAAGTATGTAATACTTCCCCTCTCTCTCTCTTGCTCCTGCTCCCACCATGTGAGAGGCCTCGCTCCCCCTTTGACTTCTGCCGTAATTGTAAGTTCCATGAGGCTGCCCCAGAAGCAAGTAGATGCCAGAATCATGCTTCCTGTATACTCTGCAGAATCATGAGCCAATTAAAACCCTTCTTTATAAGTTTCCTAGTCTCCATTATTTCTTTATAGCAATATGAATATGGATAAATGCAAGATGCTTTTTAAAAAGTTAAATATCTAACAAAAACAAATATAATGTATTTCTCTGCCACTTAATAAAATGGTCAATCAATAAAAATACACCACCTTCTAGAGATGGCATTCAATAAGATTGGAACACAAAGCCTAGCTTAATGTTCAAACAAATATTAATATAAGTATTAAATTATAAATGATAGAAATAAGACATGACCATATTATGTTTGTTGGCATTTGGTAAGTTACAGAATAAATAATCTAAAAATTTTACTTTTAGTTTTTTTCCTCCTTCCCCCTAACTAAGACTCCTATATCTGGCAAAACTGTTTTTCAAAAGTAAGCAGAAAATTAAGGCATTTCTAGACAAACAAAAGCTAAGACAGTCTGTTATCACTAGACCTGCCTTTCAAGAAATGCTCAAGGGAGGCTGGGCATGGTGGCTCACACCTGTAATTCCAGCACTTCGGGAGGCCAAGGCAGGCAGATCACTTGAGGTCCAGAGTTCGAGACCAGCCTGGACAAGATGATGAAATCCTGTCTCTGCTAAAAATACAAAAATTAGCCTGGCATGGTGGCATATGCCTGTAATCCCAGCTACTCAGGAGGCTGAGGCAGGAGAATCACTTGAACCAGGGAGGCAGAGGTTGCCATGAGCCTAGATGGCCCCACTAGCCTGGGCAACAGAGCAAGACTCCATCTTAAAAAAAATAAAAAAGAAATGTAATTATATCAGTCAAGGTGAATATATGAGCAATTATAAGATAAATATTATTGTTACAATGGTTTATAATTCCACTTTTTGTTTTTTAATAATATTCTATGTATTGAATAAACCTAAATATAAATATCCAAAAAAGATATAAGGCTAATATATTTAAAAAAACAATTATTAGTCTAAAAGCTAGTATGATTGTAACCTGGTTTATAATTCCACACTTGTTTTCTATAAAATTAGAGAGACTAATTCATCTAAAAGAATTATTACTTTATGTTTTGGGACACACAGTATGTAACGTTATAATTATGTGATATCACCAACAACTGAAAGATGTTGGAAAAGAGCGCTAAAGGACAAGCGTTTTTATATGCTGTTGAAATTAATCTGATATATATTCAAATTAGAGTGGTATATCCTTACGATATTGAGTAGTCACAAAGCAAATAGTTGTAGAATATATACAAAAGGAATAAAAAAGAATTTCAGTATTTTATTACAAAGAATAAACAACATAAAAGGAGACATTAACACAAGAAATAAATACCTATAAGGCTGTAAAAAACAAATAGCAAAATGTTAGAAGTCCCTTTTTGTCAGTGATTACAATTGTGCCTCAATATCCACAGGGAATTGGTTTCAGAATGTCCCATTAATACCAAATTCCACTGACACCAACATCTCTTATATAAAGTGGTATAGAAATGGTCTTATGTAAAATGGTAAGAAAAAAATGTCTATACATGTTCAGTACAGAAGCAACCATCCATTTTTTTAATATTTTTGATCTACAGTTTGTTGAATTCACAAATTCAGAACCCACAGATACAGAGGGCCAATTCTACTTTCAACATAAATGGTTTAAATTATCTAATCACAAAACAGAGATTGACAGAATAGATTTTAAAAATTATTCAACTATATGTTGTCTACAAGAGGTTCCCTTTAGGTCCAATGACACAAATAGATTAAAAGTGAAAGGATGAAAAAAGATATTTCATGCAAATAGTAACCAAGAGAGAGCAGGAGTGGCTGGATTAATATCAAAGGATAGAGATTGAAGGGAGAAATAAACAGTTTCATGATAATAGTTAGAGATTTTAATACTTTACTCTTGATAATGGATAGAACAACCAGACAAAAACTAAGTGAGAAAATATAGGATTAAAACAACACAATAAACTAACTAGGTATAGCAGACATATACAAAACATTCTACCAAAAACAGCATATACATTCTTCTCTAGTGCATATGGGAATTTTTCCAGAATAGAGTATATATAGGCCACAAATTGTTTTGATGTATTTTAGAAAGATACAGATAGACATCATGCAAAGTATTTTCTTTAACCACAATAGGATGAAGTTAGTTCATAGATTCATGGAAATTAAACAACATTCTCTTAAACAGCCAATGAATCAAAGACAAACTCAAAAGGGACATTGGAAAATACTTAGAGACTAAGGAAAATCAAAACATAACATACTAAACCGTATGAGTGGCAATGAAAAGCAGGGCTAATGGGGAAATTTATAGCTAGAAACACTTACATTAAACATAAGTTCTCAAATTAACAGCTTAACTTTATAACCCATGAAAATGGAAAGAGAACAAACTAAGCCAAGGTAGAAAAAGGAAAAAATAATAATAATGATTACATAGACATAAATGAAATTTAAAAATAGGAAAGCAATAGAGAAAATCAATGAAATCGAAAGTTGGTTTCTTGAAAAGCTCAACTAAATTGACAAAATCTTAGCTATATGGACTAGGAAAAAAAATTCAAAATACTAGAATCGGAAATGAAATTTGGGATGTTACTACTGATTCTACAAAAATAAAAACCATTATAGAGAGTGTTATGATAAATTCTATACCAACCAACTGGATAATTTAGATGAAATGGACAAAATCCTAAAAACACAAAAGCTACCAACACTAAAGCACAAAGACATAGAAAATCTGTATACACCTACAACTAGTGAGGAAATTTAATCAGTAATAAAAAAAGTCCTGGATCTGATGGCTTCATTGGTGAATTCTACCTAACATTTAAATAACTAACACAAATTCTCCAACTTTTCTCGAAAAATGTAGAAGGGAAAACACTTTGTAACACATACTATGAGGCCAACATTACTTGCTAACAAAGTCAGACAAAGACACCACAAGAAAAGAAAACTACCAATCAATATCCTTTATAAACACTGATGCAAAATCATCAACAAATACTAGCAAATGAAATTCAGCAATATATTTAAAGGATTATAGACCATGATCAAGTGGGATTTATTTCTGGAATGCAAGGATGGTTTAACATATGAAAATTGATCTGTGTAATACATTACATTAACAGACTGATAGGGAAAAACACATGATCATCTCAATTGATGCTGAGAAAGCATTTGACACAATTTAACACCCTATCAATAAGCTGGGAATAAAAGAAAACTACCTCATCATATAAAAGCTATATATGAAAAGCCCACATACTATACAATGGTAAAGGGCTAAAAGGTTTTACTGTCATAACAGGAACATAGCAAGGATCCTTGCTTTCACCACTTCCATTCAACATAGTACTTGAAGTTCTAGCTAGAACAATTAGGCAAGAAAAAGAAATTAAGCCATCAAAATTGAAAAGGAAGAAAAAAAATTCCTTTTTATAGATGTTACAATCTTATATGTAGGAGGCTCTAAAGAGTCCTATATATGAATTGAGCACAGTAGCAGAATTCAGCTAAACAAACAAAAATCAATTGCATTCTTATACACTAACAGTGAGCAATCTGAAAAAGAAATTATAAAAATAATAAAATAATTTCACTTGCATAGAATTCGCAAAGAATAAAAGCTTAGAAATTAGGCAATAAGATGAAAGAATTGTACAATGAAAACAACAAAATATTGCTGAGAAATTAAAGAAGACAAATTAGTGGAAACACATCTTCTATTCATTGATTGAAAGACTTAATATTTTTCAGATGTCAATACTGCCCAAAGTGATCTACAGATTCAATGCCATTTCTATTAAAATCCCAATGACATCTTTTGGAGAAATAGAAATATCTATTGTAAAATTCATATGTAATTAAAAGGTACCACAGATATCTTAAAAAAAAAAAAACTGAAAGAGAACAAAGTGGGAGGACTCACATTTCATGATTTCAAAATTTGCTACAAAGCTATAGTAATCAAAACAGCCTGATACTGGCATAAAGGCAGAAATGTAGACTAAGGAAATAAAATACAAGCCTAGAAATAAATGTTGAGATGTATGTCAAAAAATAATTTTTGACAAGGGTGCCAAAACCATTCAATAGAGAAAGGACAGTCTTTTCAATAAATGATGCTGGGAAAACTGTATATTCACATGCAAAATAATAAAGTCAGACACTTACCTAACACCATATGCAAAACTAACTCAAAATGGATCAAAAATCTAAATATAAGACATAAAACTATAAAACTCTTAGAAGAAAACATAGGGCAAAACTTAATGATATTATATTTGGCAATGATTTTTTGGATATAAAACCACAGGCACAGGCAATCAAAGAAAAATACAGATAAATTGGACTTCATATTGTTTTAATTGTGTAACTAAAGACAAGATCAACAGAGTAAAAAGGCAACCTGAAGAATGGAAAATAATATTTGCAAAATATAATATTTGAGATACATACACAGAGAGAGAGAGAGAGAATTTTTATCCTGTATATGTATATACAGGATATATAGAATATATAAGGAATTCCTGAAAACAACAAAAAAAAACATATTCAAACATAGGCAAGGATTTGAATGAACATTTCTTCAAAGAAGATATATAAATGGCCAATAAACACATAAAAAGATTTTCAACATCACTAATTATTATGGAAATGCAAATCAAAATTACAATGAGATAACACGTCACACCCATTAGGATAGCTAGTATTTAAAAAAAAAAAAGCAGAAAATAACAAGTGTTGGTAATGATGTGGAGAAATTGGAACACTTGTTCACTGTTGGTAGGATTGTAAAATATATATACTGTTAAAAACAGTATGGCAGTTTCTCAAAAAATTAAAAATGAAATTACAATATGATCTAGCATTTTCTTTTCTGAGTATATACCAAAACAAATTGAAAACAGGATCTCAAAGAGATAGTTGTATAACCATGTTCATAGCAGCAATATTCACAATAGCTAATATGTGGAAACAAATCAGATGTACATCAACAGATGACTAGATAAGCCAAATGTGGCATATGCATACCATAAAATATTATTCAACCTTAGAAAAAAGTATAATTATGACATATTCTACATGGATTAATTTTGAGGACATTATACTAAGTGAAATAAGCCGGTTTCCAAAAAGACAAATACTATATGATTTCCCTTATATGAGATCCTAGAGTAGTCCAAATCACAGAGACAGAAAGTATAATGATGATTGCCAAGAGAAGGAGGAAATGGGGAGTTACTGTTTAATGTATATGGAGTTTCCGTTTTATTATGAAAATAATTATAAAGATGTATGGAGGTGATGGTTGTAAAACAGTATGAATTATTTAATATGACTGAACTTTACACTTAAGATGATTAAGAGGGTAAATGCTACATTATGTGCATTTCACCACAATAAAATAAATTGAAAAAAAAAAAAAATTCAGTACCTTGAGCCAGTATCAGTCTGAGCTGACTGCCTGGGGAATGTACTTGTAAATTTTTCTGTGTTCATGGCTAGTTGACTATTGTCAAATATAGTTTTCAGAAGAAACAAAACATATTTCAAATTTAAAATACATGCTCAGTGTTACATATAAGTGAATTAATATTCTGCCATTAATTGTTCCATAAAAATACTCCGAACTTTGTGGTATAAAACGGCAACTGTTGACTAGAAAATCAGGTAAGACACTATGGAAACAGCTTTTCTCTGCTCCATGAAGTCTGGGACCAAGACAGAAACCGAAGCTCTACTTGGACAACACTGATCTCAGGGTAAAGGAAAAAGAGTAAGAGAGGTGATAAAGGTATGTTTTGGTTCATAAATCTGTTCAGTGTTGCTCACATGCCATTAATGTGGAAGGAATATATGATCCTCCCACTGGAAGCATTGCAAATCACAAGGTAATGGGTAGGAATGCACAGTCATTTTGGAGGGTTGGAAGAAGTGGCAGTAATAGATTCTATCTCTTGCTACCGTTGCAGAATTTTCTCCTTAGTTTGGCTAAAACCAGTCTCTTGTCATACGACCAGGAAAGATAAGGCTCGCGGACATAAAGAAGGGTGAGGAAAATGGAATTTACTGGGTGAAAAGGATAATGGAAAAATAACTCTCAGCAAAGCAAGAGAGAGTCCCGCTAGCATGTTTCCTGCCTCACAGATTGAATTCCAGGTCACCACCCAGGAACTGAAGAGGCCAGGCTCCTCCCCACTGCGAACCAGCGCAAACTTCCTGAAGCTCCACCCTGTCCTCCCAGTGCGCAGGTGGGCATTGCTCAGGGAGAATCAGTCAGGAAAGGGTGGGCTTCATCCAGAACCAGCAGTCCAGTTTTTCAGCCTTCAGGCTGTTGTAGACTTGAAGGCAGGGTTTCCCTGGAGACCCCTGGCTGTCTCCTGTCTCTGTCACTACGATTTGTAGTGATCTTTTCCAATCTCCAGATAGTTCTTAAGACCCTGTAGCTTTGGGAATCTACTGTTCTAGGCTTGAACTCTAAACAAACTACAAAAAAAAAAATTACAAATTATATTTTACAAAACATTTCTCTTGAGCCATCTCAATTTGCCTCTTAAATGATCTTCATAGATTTATGAGTATGCCTTTGCCAACAAAAACAATAACATGCAAATTGTAAATCTTTCAGAGTGGAAAACAAAGACTGATGACGATTCCTGCACTCACCTCCCGGATCAAACCGACAATTACCCAGCAGGTGTCCCAGAGCATTACAGCTTTTCAGAGGAACAACTTCTGTATATGCGTATGTGTTTAAGCAAATGTTTATTTGTCACCCTTTACCTTAATTACAGCTACTTATTTCCAAGTGGTTATTTCAACTGAAAGGCAGAAGGGCTGTAGGAATGAAGCATGTCAGACTCTCTGAAAGTGTGAGTAACAATGGAAATGCAAAGTATTCTTAGCATTGAATAATGACAATCTAATAAAAGCTACAAATGATGAGGTTGTCCGCAATACTGTTTGGTTATCATTAACAAATCACATTATCTTCCCCTTCTCTCTGTAGCAATCAGTCTCCTGAAGCAAACTACATGTAAATTCTTTTGACAGAAGGCAATTCCTTTTCTCTATTTCCTCCTTAACTCCATAATGAAATCCTAATGAATGCTAAAGATTTCTGTGAGTAGTACAATATTCATCTATTGTATTACTGACTGAAAAGAACTTGCTGCATATTCAGAGAGATATAAAGGACTTGATTTTCAAACAAATAGTTTTGATAGGCAGATTCAGGACAAATCTAAATTGTATTTAATTATGCTACTGTTGCAGTGCTCTTATAACAATTTTTCACATGTCAAGTTATTATCTTTAATATCTTTAAGAACTATTGTAATATGTAGAGCCTATTTCCTGATTAGCTACATCCATTTTAATACTATTTCCACCTATCAGTACTATGGGAATAATGGCATAATGGTAGTCTAGGAAGTCAAAATATTGTCCTAAATAAACCCTTTAGGGATAAAGTCTTGGAACACGTATGCCTAAAGGGAGGGGTGTCTTCTAGCACTAATTTGATGGCCTTTCTAAAAACAAAAATACTTTTGTTTTCATGCACTCTCAATTGCCTACAGGTCTAAACTCAGTTTTGTAAGGAAATATATATATATGGAGAAAAATAAAAATAAATATATATATAATGAAATATATATATATAATGAAATATATATATATAATGAAATATATATATATATATATAAAATGAAATATATATATATATAATGAAAAATGTGCTGTTTCAAGGGTGTTTATTATGGCATCCCAACCTAATGAATGACTTGCGGTAGCCAAAAGCTTTAGGCTTCAAACCTGAACACTTCTACATATAACTCATCCTGTGTGCTCACTGTACCTTTACAGTGTTAACAGAGAAAAATATGAATACATCCAAAAAGTTTTAACTCAGAAGAAAAAGCAAATGTGATTTTGTTTTAAGTTAGACTTCAAAATAAACTCATTGGGAAATTATTGCCACTTGGAAAGAATTAGCTTCATTATACTCTATGTCTTTACAGTCAGGAGCCTAATAATATAATTTCCTTGAATTTTCACCTTTTGGTGTTATTTCCATTTTTATTCGTTTCACTTTAATCCGTCTTTTATGTTTTCCTAAATATAGTTTTGATTCCTCTTTATTTAGTCATTGAAAAACAAAACAGAATGAGTGACCCAATAGATCTTTGAATTAGACTAGTGGGCATTTCACATTTATCATTTTCTTTAACTTACAAAATGAAAGACCATTTGTATCCAAGTTTGGCTACCAAAAGGAAGTTTACCAAGATACCATTTGTTTTAATTTTGTTATTAATCTATCATCTTGAAACCACATTTCGTTCACTTGAAGTTTTCAAATAGTGTTATCTTCTGTGATCACACTAATTTCATTCCACAATTGGCAAATTCTTAAACCAAATGGTAGAGTCTATGTAGAAACAAAGTGATATAAATTTTTTTATAACTTTTTCTTCTAATTTCTTTAAGAACTACTGAGGTGCTCTTTAATTATGGAAATAATTATGCCTTATATAGTTATTAAGAACCAACTCAAAATGAGCCATCTCAGCTTGGTCTTGTATTTCAAAGGAATAAAACTCACTGTACAAATATAGGAATAATAAGATACTCATAAAATAAGAGGTTAATCATGAGAAAAGTATGGTTTTAAATGTGTGACTGAAAACTGCAGAAACACTGAAGTACAATCAAGGTGATGAGGGTATAATCTCTATAGCAGGTACTAGAATGTGATTGTAATTAAGAAAGGTGGAACCCAATCAACTGTATTATAAACTGTCAAAAGAAGGTATTCAGAGTAAAGTACATGAAAAGATAATTCAGATATGTGAAAATACAAATGACTAATGAATAAGATTGTACATTCATCTAGTAACTTAATTAAAAATGAGATGTTATTTTTGCCTATCAATTTGTCAGTTTATCAATAGAATAATACCAAATGCTTGCATGAGTTAAACATTGAAAGTAACCTCACACATTTCTGCTGGAATATAAATTTTTGCCCTTTCCAAAATGCAATTAATAAAAATGTATTAATAACTTTTGAGTATATTTATAATATTTTTATTAAAACTACTTTTAAGGAGTTATTCTATGGGGATTGTGTCTCAAAATGTATAAAATTATATACCAAGCTGTTTACTGCATTTGTTAATAAAAAGTTATAAATAACCCAAATGCCAAGAATGAGAGACTGATTAAATATATACATTATTTGATATGATGAATTAGTAGCAGTCTTCAATTATATTTTTGGAGAATTTAATAGCATGTTAAGGTATAAAAATATGTACATTTTAATTCATTTTACGATTCAATTATGTTACCTTTATGTATAGAAATATGCTAGTTAAGAACATTAAAATATTAAACACTGTCATCTTTATATTCTGAAATTGTGGTTAATTTTTGCTTAATTACTAACATACATAATATATAAATGCTTAAGCATTATCTTTATTTTGGCAATGTTTATTTATATTTACTTCTTAATAGGTTTGCAAACTTCAGGTAGACCTCTGCTACTTGCTTTTTAAAAAATTAACAGTACTGGCTGGGCGCAGTGGCTTACACCCGTAATCCCAGCACTTGGGAGGCCAAGGCAGGTGGATCACAAGGTTAGGAGTTCGAAACCAGCCTGACTAACATGGTAAAACCCCATCTCTACTAAAAATACAAAAAATTAGCTGGGCTTGGTGGTGCATGCCTGTAATCCCAGCTACTCAGGAGGCTGAGGCAGGAGAATCACTTGAACCCAGGAGGCAGAGGTTGCACTGAGCCCAGATTAAGCCACTGCATTCCAGTCCAGCCCGGGTGATGGAGCAAGACTCCATCTCAAAAAAAAAAAAAAAATTAACAGTATGTTATATAATTTAATTCTGTTGTATGTAACTGTTGGTCATTTCCCTTTACTCTCACAAGAGTTGGTTTTTGCTGCATAATAAACCATATCAAAACTCAGTGGCTTAAAAGAGCGTTCAAGGATAAGCTCACAATTCTGTGGGTCAACAACTTAGGTTAGGCTTAAATGGACAATACTTATTATGCTGGTTTCCCTATGCACACATGTACAGCTAGAATCACCTCACAGACTTATGTGGAACTTGGACACTCAAGGATGGCATTCCTTACATGTTTGGCGATACGTGCTGGCTGTCGGTAAGTGATGGCTGTCAGCTCAGGTTATAACGTTAACTGGAAAAACATGTTTTCAGCCAGTTGGCATGGGCTTGTACAAACAGTGGCAGTCACAGAGTTTCCATGAGCCACAAGCTCCAATAAACAAGCATTTTTTAAGTTTCTTCTTGAAACACGTTTGCTGTTGTCCCATTGGCCAAAGCATGTGGTAAGGCCCAGAGTCAGTAAGCAAAGGTGCTATCTAAACACATGGATTAAGGAAGGGATAAATAAAAGTTGGGATTTTTACTGCTACAATCTACTATACTTTTCTATTTTATTCTATATACACTCAGCCCTCTGTATCAGTGGGTTCCTCAACTGTGGATTCAACCAAACACAGGTGGAAAATACTTTTCAAAAAATTATGTCTGTACTGAACCTGACAGACATTTTTATTGTTACTATTCTCTAAACAATACAGCATATCAACTATTTACATAGCATTTACATTGTGTGAGGTATTATAAGTAATCTCGAGATAAGTTAAAGTTTACAGGAGGATGTGCATAGGTTATATGCAAATACTACACCATTTGGTAGCAGGGACTTGAGCAACTGCAAATTTCAGTATCCAAGGGAGGTCTGGAACCGATCTCAAACAACAAATAGAGATGACTGTATTACCACAGCTTGTTTATCCGTGTTCTTCTGAACATTTAGATGGTTCCTGGAATTTGTTTTTATGAACAGTTTTATTATGAATGCTTTTGTATGTCTTCTGTTTATAGGTGCAAGAAGTTATCTTAGATCCTTAACTAGGTGGAGAATTTCTGGGAAAATATGTGAGTAGTCAATTGTATAGAATAATGTCATTTTTTTCCCATCAAGATTAGTTCAACTGTACTCCCACTGACAATGCGGGGCACACAAAATTGAAACAAATCATTAACAGCTACGTAGTTTTATTAAAAAATATATCATTTTATCTTTTTATTTTTTTCCTTTTTGAAATGGAATCTCACTCTGTCGCCCAGGCTGCAGTGCAATGACATGATCTCAGCTCATCACAACCTCCGCCTCCCAGGTTCAAGCAATTCTCCTGCCTCAGCCTCCTGAGTAGCTGGAATTACAGGTGCCCACCACTATGCCTGGCTAATTTTTGTATTTTCAGTACAGACAGGGTTTTGCCATGCTGGCCAGGCTAGTCTCGACCTCCTGACCTCAAGTGATCTGCCCACCTCAGCCTCCCAAAGTGCTGGGATTACAGGCATGAGCCACCTACCCCAGCGCATTTTATCTTTATTATTGAAAAATAACAGTTTAGTCACAAAGTAACAAAGGTAGTTTGAGTTAAGTAAGGAATGGGCTACATTAAACATACAACATGAATGCTAGAATGTGTAACTGTTTGCTCATTACTTTATTCATTCAAAAACATGTGTTAGGTACCTTATAGGACACTGTGTTAAGGGCTAAATATAATTTTTAGACGTGATCTTTATCTTCAAGGGCTTATGATTTATTCCAGAGTTTGAAAAAATAAATAATTAACAGAAACAGCTAACACTTACATCGTGCCTTCTATGTACTAGATGCTGTTCCAAGTACTCTGCATATATTAACTCACTTAATCCTCACAATAGTCCTATGAGAGGGATACTGTTTTCATCCCCATTTTACAGATAAGGAAACTGAGGCCGAGGTTAGTATTTTACACAAGATCAACCAGCTAGTAAATAGTGGAGCCAGGACTCAAACCCAGGCACTCTGTTCTCAGAAGCTTCATCTACCCCTTAATCCCCATCTACCCCTTAACTCTTCTATTCATTCAAGAAGTAGTGAAGCAAATATGAACAGCAATATGCTCAGCAGATTAACATATAATAGAAATCTGCTTATTTGAATGTGGACCTGACCTATTTAATAAAATCTCCAAGGTTTTTATACCATAACTACCAAATCACATAGCAAATGAAAATAAATACAATCATGACATGTGATCTTTTTCTTTGGTTTTTAGCCAATTATGATTAGACAGAAAACAAGCGTTTTAATATGCTAAATGAACTCTGCCTAACTTAAATAAGAGTTATTGTTCTTCTTTTCCATTATGCGAATCAAATATGGCAGACATATATGCAGGTGGAGTATCCCTTATCCAAAATGCTTAGGGCCAGAGTGTTTTGGATTTCAGATTTTTTCAGATTTTGTAATATTTGCCTTATTTACTGGTTGAGCATCCCAAATCCCAAAATCTGAAATCTGAAATGCTTCTATGAGCATTTATTTTGAGCATCACGTTGGTGCTCAGTAAAAGTTTCAGATTTTGTACAATTTCAGATTTGAGATTTGAGATGCTCAAACTGTATATGTATACATATTTACATAGGTATATGTATATATACACACAGATCACATCTTATATATTACATACTGCTTGCTATGTACAATATATTATTTAGTACATTTTATGTTATATATATGTAAACAAACACATATGTATGTATAAAACAGTGAAGATCTATCATTTGCATTCTTCATTATCCATTTTCCCTAAAAGCAGCTTTATTTATTTTGAAAAATTACCCATTTCAAGTAAAGAGTGGTCTTGTTGGAACAGTAAACTTGGATGCTGATATTGTTTGGCTCTGTGTCCCCATCCAAATCTCATCACAAATTGTAATCTTCACATGTGGAGGGAGGGACTTGTAATCCCAATGGGTAGAGAGAGGAAAGTGATAGGATTTGGGAGAGGTTTCTTCCATGCTATTTTCATGATAGTGAGTGAGTCTCACGAGATCTGATAGTTTTAAAAGTGGCAGTTTTTTTCTGTGCTCACATTCATGCTGTTTCCTGCTGCCTTGTGAAGAAGGAGGCTGCTTCCCCTTCTGCCATGATTGTAAGTTTCCTGAGGTCTCCCTAGCCATGCTTCTATTATGCCTGCGGGACTTTGAGTCAATTAAACCTCTTTCCTTTATAATTACACAGTCTCAGGTAATATTCTTTACAGTGGTGTGAAAACAGACTAATACAGATGCCCTGCTTTCCACTAATGGGACCCAAAGGAATATCTCAAGGAGGCCTCCTTTAACCACAAAGGTACAGTCAAAGCAGAGTTATGTGAAAGACATCCCAAGTATTATGAGACTTGGCTGCCGCAGTGGGTCATTTGCAATCCAAAGGAATCATACTCTCTCAATATACTGCTCACTAGAACAAAGTACTCTTTGTTTATTGTAATAACATGATGTCTTAATGGATAGTCCTATAATTATTCTAAGAATTTCATTCATTGGATGTGTTCAGTATTTTGATACTCAGAGATAGCAAATTATAAATAATATAAAAAATTCAGTACAGTATTGTATATGCTAAGTCAGAAACTACTCATTTATTTCTCAATTCCCTATTCTTTCCCTCCTGAATACCAGGCTATAGTTTATTTCCTAACCTCCCATGCATTTAGATGTGGTCATCTAAGTAATTCCTGGTCAATGGAATGAAGAAAAAGTGAGGCACTCCACACCCAAGACTAATTCATAAAACTTTCCATGCAGCTACCCTCTCTCCTCTTCCATCTGTCACTCATTATTGATTCCCAGAGCAACCTTCAAAGTCAAAAGGGAAGTTGGCAAATCCTACATCAACCTGAGTCTAGTGACAATGTTGCCATTTATACTTGCTATTTCCTCTTGTCTGAAAGTTCTTCCACTGATATCTCATAATTCTGCCTCTACCTCTGTCAGGCTTCTGCTTAAATACTACTTTATGGACAAGGCCTTCCCAGTATATCTTATTTAAAGTAGCAGCATACTTGAGGACACTCTGTGCCTTCTTCTTCTGATTCATTTTTCTCCTATAACATTACTTTCTTGCATACTTCTTTTGTTGTCTATTACCTGGCTCTATCTACTAGAATATATGCTTCATGAAGGATGAAGCTCATCCCTCATGAGCTACAATTTTTTTCAACGCTATGTACTCATAACTAAATAGAATGCTACAATGAATATTTGTTGAATGCATGAATGAATGAATAAATGGCTATTGGGCATTGCGCTTGAATTTCAAGATATTACATATGTTAAGTGGAATCATGAAAAGAGAAATCTTATATATTAATATTTTCAAGAGTTAAGGGATATATTTTTAAAACAACATAAGTACAATGAGAGATAAAGAAAAAACTTCCCTTAGAGAGAGAGTTAGTATATAAATTAGAAAAAAAAAGGAGAAATGACAGAGAATAATTACAAGGAAAGTTCAAAGGCAGATTGGTTTAAACATTACTTGTAAATTGTCTCTATTTTGATTCGCTAGTGATTCTTGTTCTGTCACATGGATTATAGAGCAGGATGAAAGGTGAGCAGAAAAAGAAATACCAGACATTTAAATTATAACCCAGCAAAAAGGTCAAAGAAATGCTGCTTAGCACTTTTCTTCTTAGGGTAGAGGAAACATTAAAAGAACTAACAGCTCAAGAATAGAAGAGCATTTGCTACATTCATGCCAAACTCAAATTGGTTTCCAGAGAAATAATAAAAATGACATTCTTTTTGCAAACAAAAAAATGCAGAAATAAAAATGCAATATTATAAATAGAAAACAGCCATCCCTCTGACTAAGTGTCCATTTCATGGGCCTGCTTCATCAGTTGTTGTGCTTCCCAATCACTTACTGTTACATATCACCCAACAGATTAGAATTCATTGGAACAGTCTAGCTGACGTGACATGATCATGGAGAAAAAGAGGCCTTATTTATCTGCAAGTTCTGCATTTTTGAATTACTATTACTTTATAAGAATGAAAAAGGATTTTTTAAAAAACATAAATGTAGCTTTTAGCCAATTTCTAAATTATCTTGTTACTCTTATTATATATACACAGAGAGATGACAAAAAGCTAGATTATAAGAGGTTGGAAGCAGAAAACAATGGGAAAAGAATATCTGTGTCATAACCAATGTATGTGACTTTTTCCATTTAATGCTTCTATCAGTCAGAGTATGCCATGTTGCACTGAAATAATACATACTCCACGATCTCAATGGCTTAAAGCAATAAAAGTTTATTTGCATGTTACATGTCCACCAAGGGTTTGCTAAGGGCTTTACTCTAGTGGTTCCCATGATAAAACATTTACTAGAACATTACCAATGATCATAGCAGACAAAAAGAGAAGGTAACAAACCACACAAGTGATATATTAAAATTTTTGCCTACATACTAATGACAAAGCATATATGTAGCCTCACCTAACTCCAAACGGGCTTAATCATGCAATCCAACCAGGTGCACAGGAAGAAAATCGAAATATCTGCTGGATAGAAATAGCAAATACTACAATGCTAATAAAAATCTACTTGAGTAGTGAAACTAAGCCTCAGGGAAGTTAAATAACTTACTCAATGACACTTGTAAGTAGCATAGTCAGTTTTGAAATTCAGGCTTTTCTGACTGTAGGAAAGAAAGCAATAAGAATTAGCAGATGGTGAGGATGAGACCTTGATTAATTCAATATTACTAATCCCTTGCTACTGGAAGTGTTGTTTGTGGAACAGCAGCACAGCATCACCGGAGAATTTATTAGAAAGGCACAATCTCAGCCCCACCCCAGCTACTAAATCAGAATCTGCCTTTTAACAAGGTCTCCTGGTGATTCATATGTACATTAAAGTTTCAGAAGTACTGTCCTAAACTTTATCTCTAAGCGCATATTAAGTTACATTGGAAATAATCCATTATGGTCCCCTGCTCCAAGTCTACACCTATCCATTAATGAGGACTTCCACCAGATTTACCACCATCACGATCACCCAGGTGTTTCTGGGACTCCCGTGTAGGAACACAATAAATACACTTATCTTTCTTCAACTTTAACACACTACTCTTTACTTTCCCCATACTCCATGATCTTCAGGCACAGTGACCCCTTCTTCCTTCCTCTGTTAGTCCTTGGGACCACAAATACATCTTACTGTCTGTGTCGGGGTTGAGGAATGGATGAAAAATGAATATCTAGAACTCATGTCACCATTACCCCTGGGTCTCTCAGCAGCAGTGCTTTGTGCCCAGGGTCAAACACGTTTGTCCATATACACAGCTCATTCATCTTTTCATTTAGAAACACTTTTCAAATGGCTCAAGATCAGTTTATGGAGCAAGTGTGTGCATTCTCCTCATCTCTATCATCCTCATAGCTTTTTTTCTCTTCCCAAGAACATCAACCCCAAAAGAATCCCCTTTAGTCAAAAATAAATAAACAAATAAACCCTCCCATGCATGTTTAATCATGTAAAAAACACTTCAGGTAAGGGAGACTACAGACTAGCAGAAATTATCTCTTGTAATTAATATATCTAGGCTATCAAATAGAAAATTATCATTTTGAGTAAATCTAAAGACTCTTATTTGGACAAGTGATATGGCTTCATACTACTTTCAATCCAAATAATTACCAAAGAGGATATTGTCCTTGAGTGTCTTGGCATCTTTCTGCTATACATAATAAATTAAAATTTCATAAGAATATCTATAATTTAAAAAGCATAAAGAATGAAAAGAAAAAGACAGATAATGAATATACATTAATAGGACAGAATGCAATACATAAAATATAAGCAGACTTGGCCTGGTACGGTGGCTCATGCCTGTAATACCAGCTACTTGGAAGGCTGAGGCAGGAGGATTGCTTGAAGGCAAGAGTTTGACAACAGCCTGGGCAATATAGTGAGACCCCAGCTCTTACAGAAATACAAAAGTAAACCAAAAATTTTCTTAAGAAATATAAGCAGATATGAGTTTTCTAACACAAGGCTATCCTTCTTTGTTTTAGAAACAAATTCCTCTTACTTCCAATTTTGGTTGCAATGCCCACCTAGACATAACATTTTCCAAACCATATGACTAAGTTTTAGCCAATGGATATGAGCAACTTTCAGATCACATTCTTAAAAGAGGAAGGCTACTTGCCTTCTACGTATTCTTTTTTCCTCCTAAGCTGAGAAATAGCAACAAGCAGAACAATCACCTTGAATCCAAGGATGAAATTTATGCTGATGATGAATAAGCAACGTTTTCAAACCTGATTATATACCAGCTTAGATTTTTAAGCAGAGGAGAAATAAATCTTCTGTCATGTTTAATTCACTGCTAATTGATCTCTCAAAGCATTTACATTCATATTCTAATATAAGACTTAATACAAAAATTATTCCAACAAAACCTAACCAAATAAAGAAAACACATATACTGAGGGTCTTGCTTGCCTGCTGACTGAGAACTAAAAACAGCAGAATTATTACATAAGAACAAAAAAAAAGACAGCTGTATTTCACTTTTAAAAAGAAACAGTTTTTTATTTAAAAAATAAATTTGGAAAGGCATTTACATTTTTCGTAGATATAAAACAAAATTTATTTGCAAAATATTTTTGTATCTAGTGAGTGAGGATCTTTTAAGTCTATACAATTTATTTTTTTTCATTTAATAAAGTACACCATGTAGACTTTTAAATCTCTTCTCTTTCCAGATTTTATTTCTTAAAATGAGACCATCATGTTCCCCAGCTCCAATCTATCCTGCCAATTTTTATTTCTACTTCTTTCTGCCATCGTATTAGTCTCTTCTTTGCAGTGCCTTTCATGTGAATTTCTTCTGTTTCACTTCACTGTTCTATTCAAATCCTTACCTACTTCTTCCAGGGTTCTTGAAATAATAACACTCTATGTGGCCATTACTCCAGCTCCAGCCTCCTGTTGCCTCTAACCTCTTGCTCTTTCTCTTCTCCCAGTTCAGAATTTACTGGGACTTACTTTTAAAAAAATAAATAAATCATTTTTGTGTAAATCACCTCTTTTCTCAAATACCTTTAAAAGTTATAGCAGAAATTTCAAATTTGTATGACTACAACCTATTTTAATGTGTTTCTTAAGTTTCTCAGTAGTCATCCGTACAGTCCTTTGTGCTTCATCCGAAGACAACTGCTCTTTAATTACTAAGTACAACCCATGTATTCACACCTCCTCCATTTGCCTATTCTACATGTGCCTGAAAAGCATTCTGCATGCAAAACTTCCCTAAAGACTATTTTTCCTGCAAAACTCACATGGCCCCCCACTCTTTCCATTAGACTTTCTTCAGCTGTCCTAAAACCAATCTCTCTGCTTCTGGTTTCCCAGGGATCTTATTGTCTGTTCCATTGACTTGGATTTTCTATTATTTCTCATCCTTCAAGGGTCACCAGCAGACACCAATCAATTATTAAATATGTTTAACCTACCATGCAGAAAGTACTTGGCCTTACGTTGGGAATTCAAAGAACCAAAAGATATGATCATTTTAAGGACCTACAATTTGGAAAGACCCATCATGAAAATTTTAAAGGATAAGTTACATTTAGCATTCTTGGGATTCAGAATAGGACACATAAATAGCTGTAGCTCTTACACCAGCACCCTGAAGATTTTATCATTTTGTCTTCCTTCTTCTTAACATCAATTAAACTACCCTCAATAATTTATATTGAAAGTTTTTGGAATTAATACCATTTAGAAGACAAAGTTTGTGCCCCTGTCCAAATCAAAGCAAAATAGAAGTGAAGTAAGACATGAAGCACCTTACTTACTGTCATAGGGAAGCCTCACACTCTTTGGTCTGTTTGGTTTAAAAAAAAAATGCTGACTTTCTCACTCCTCGCTATTTTTGTGGGTTCTTTGGAAATCTCACTATTACTCTCTTACCTGAAGTTTCCTTGACTCACACAAATGCACTCTACTTTGGGGTTTGCCTATTCCTTCTTCAGGTTCTAGGAATTAGTGTTCTGCTTCTGGTTCCTCTGCTGAGTTCAGACATGCCCGTAGAGGTGTGAACTGGACTCAGCAGGGGAGTGTCCCTCTAGGAGTGCACCAGAGCAGGACACACACCCCGCACTGCTTTCCTTTGCCCATGTTCTACATCTGGTCAATGGGAGAAAACACCTATCCTCTGTTCAGGCAAATGACCAATGTAAGGCTAATCCCACCCTAAGCAGGTGACTAGCCCATCTAGATTTCCAAGGCATGTGTGAAAGATTAGTCAATTGTATTGCCATAACTAAGAGTGTAGATATCACACTCTCCTGGTTAGGGTTGTCAGATTTAGCACTTTAAAGTATAGGACTTTCAGTTAAATTTGAACTTTAGATAAATAACAGATGTTTTTTAAATTATAAATTTGGTTTGTATTTATTATGTTTTCTAAATACTAATTATGCAAAAATTCAAAATAAATATATAAAAATCAAGTAATACATGCTTTTTTTTTGAGACGGAGTCTCACTCTGTTGCCCAGGCTGGAGAGCAGTGGCGCGATCTTGGTTCACTGCAAGCTCTGCCTCCCGGGTTCATGCCATTCTCCTGCTTCAACCTCCCGAGTAGCTGGGACTACAGGTGCCCACCACCACACCCAGCTAATTTTTTTGTATTTTTAGTAGAGACAGGGTTTCACCGTGTTAACCAGGATGGTCTCAATCTCCTGACCTCGTGATCCACCCACTGTGGCCTCCTAAAGCGCTGGGATTACAGGCGTGAGCCACCACGCCTGGCCATACATGCTTATTTTGATGAAACTAAAGTAATATACTGAAGTGTATAAGTTAAAAAAGAAAGTCACTCCCTCAAAGAGCAGTCACTATTAATAGTATTCTTCTAGACCCTTTTTCTATTCAAGGATATGTTTTCATGTCAGTATATGAAGATTACACTCATTACCCTTAACTGCAGTGTTGTATTCTATAGTATGAATGCATCACAATTTATCTATTTTCTTATTGATAGGCATTTAGAGAGTCTCCAAGTTTAAACTATTTTAAATATGCTTATACCTATGCATTATGTTATTTTTTGCTCTTAAATTGTATTTTTTAATTGATATATAGCATTTGTACATATTAATGGGGTACATATGATATTTTGACACATGCATACAATGTATAAATGTGTAATGATCAAATCAGGATATTTAGGCCATCCATCCCCTTGAACATTTATAATTTCTTTGAATAGGAACTATTTTAAATATTCTTTTCTAGGTACTTTGAAATATACAAAATATTAATGTTAATTATAGTCCCCTCAATATGGATGCAACTTAAGGTGATCATGTTAAGTGAAATAAGCCAGACACAGGAAGACAAATATCATACATTCTCACTCATATGTGGGAGCTACAAATCTGATCTCATGGATGTCAAGAAACTGGGAAGGGTGTGGGGTGGAGGAGGGGATAAAGGGGAGTTTTTAATGTGTACAGAAATATGATTTAATATAAGGAATAAGTTATAGTGTCAGATGTCATTTTTAATATAAGTGTGTGCTTTGAAACATTTTGGATATATTCTTACTAAAAGACTATTCGTTCATTATTCAGCCATTCTAATTCAGCTTGGGTATCCCATATTTTATCTTTAAACCTTTTAGTAGGGTTTACTAGGAAATCCTACTCCTAATACTTCTGTAGTCATCACTGCCCCACTATTCTTCAAACTAGGCAATGGTTTTAGGTAGAGAGGGACGTCCTCAGCACTCTCCTTGAGTGATGGTATGCATGGATCTCTTAGCTTTATACCAAAAAGGAAAAATCCTTTTCACAAATCTACCAATCTCCACTCTTTAAAATATTTTAAGGTGGGGCACAGTGACTCATGCCTATAATCTCAGCACTTTAGGAGGCTGAGGCGGGCATATCACCTGAGGCCAGGAGTTCAAGACCAGCCTGACCAACATGGTGAAACCCCGTCTCTACTAAAAATACCAAATTAGCCAGGCATGGTGCCACACGCCTATAATCTCAGCTACTTGGGAGGCTGAGGCAGGAGAATCGCTTGAACCCGGGAGGCAGAGGTTGCAGTGAGCCGAGATTGTGCCATTGCACTGCAGCCTGGTCAACAAGAGTGAAACTCCATCTCAAAAAAAATAAATAAATAAAATTAAATAATCAACTTTATCGATGACTACTTTTCTCAATATCTTTTGAAAACTTGCATTTTGGTTTAGTAGAGATGCAAGGATAAAAGCACTCTTATGCCTTGCTGGTAAAAATGTTAACTGTTACAACCATGTTTTTATACAACCTAAGTCTACTATATTAAAATAAAAAATACCTAGACACTTTGGAAATTGCTTTTCTGAGAAGAATTTATCCACCATATGATATGCACATGCACATACACACATATAAATATGTAACATGACACTAGTATAAAGATTTTATAAAAAGATTAGTCTAGCAGTATTGATTACAGAAGCAAAAATGAAAAAACTTTACTAAAAATGTAAATTAGCACCAGTATAGGAATGGCTGAATAATTTGTAATACAAACCTCAATCTAAAATATTAAAAAGACTAAATTAGAACTTTACCAGTTGACTTGGAAAGATTTCCATAAGCTATAGTTGAGTGCAAAAAAGAAAATCTAAATTCACAAAAAAGTGTATACTATGACCCATTGCTGAAAAATAATAATTTATTTTAAAAACCCAGTAGGTATATTAATATAAGCATTTTTTCTTATAACTTTGGAAAATAAAGAAAATGCAGAAGAATACATATGCTTATGTTTATGACATGGTCATTGGGTAAATAATGTAGAGGTAGGAAAATCAAGTGGGAGGGCGTATTTTAGAAAATTTTTGTGGTGAAGCCAAGATGGCTGAATAGGAACAGCTCAAGTCTACAGCTCCCAGCATGAGCAATGCAGAAGATGGGTGATTTCTGCATTTCCAGCTGAGGTACCGGGTACATCTCACTGGGGAGTGTCGCACAGTGGGTGCAGGACAGTAGGTGCAGCGCACCGAGCATGAGCCAAAGCAGGGAGAGGCATCACCTCACCCGGGAAGCACAAGGGGTCAGGGAATTCCCTTTCCTAGTAAAGACAGGGGTGACAGATGGCACCTGGAAAATCGGGTCACTCCCACCCTAATACTGTGCTTTTCCAACAGTCTGAGCAAATGGCACACCAGGAGATTATATCCTGTGCCTGGCTTAGAGGGTCCTATGCCTATGGAGCCTCGCTCATTGCTAGTACAGCAGTCTGAGATCAAACTGCAAGGTGGCAGCGAGGCTGGGGGAGGGGCACCCACCATTGCCGAGGCTTGAGTAGCTAAACAAAGCGGTCAGGAAGCTCGAACTGGGTGGAGCCTACTGCAGCTCAAGGAGGCCTGCCTGCTTCAGGAGACTCCACCTCTGGGGGCAGGACATAGCCAAACAAAAGGCAGCAGAAAACTCTGCAGACTTAAATGTCCCTGACAGCTTTGAAGAGAGTAGTGGTTCTCCCAGCATGCAGCTGGAGATCTGAGAATGGACAGACTGCCTCCTCAAGTGGGTCCCTGACCCCCGAGTAGCCTAACTGGGAGGCACCCCCCAGTAGGGGCAGACCAACACCTCACACGGCCGGATACTCCTCTGAGACAAAACTTCCAGAGGAACGATCAGGCAGCAACATTTGCTGTTCACCAATATCTGCTGTTCTGCAGCCTCCGCTGCTGATACCCAGGCAAACAGGGTCTGGAGGGGACCTCCAGCAAACTCCAACAGACCTGCAGCTGAGGGTCCTGACTCTTAGAAGGAAAACTAACAAACAGAAAGGACATCCGCACCAAAACCCCATCTGTACGTCACCATCGTCAAAGACCAAAGGTAAATAAAACCACAAAGATGGGGAAAAAACAGAGCAGAAAAACTGGAAACTCTAAAAATCAGAGCACCTCTCCTCCTCCAAAGGAATGCAGCTCCTCACCAGCAATGGAACAAAGCTAAACAGAGAATGACTTTGGCGAGTCGAGAGAAGAAGGCTTCAGACAATCAAACTACTCCAAGCTAAAGGAGGAAGTTCAAACCCATGGCAAAGAAGCTAAAAACCTTGAAAAAAAATTAGATGAATGGCTAAATAGAATAACCAATGCAGAGAAGTCCTTAAAGGACCTGATGGAGCTGAAAACCTTGGCACAAGAACTACGTGATGAATGCACAAGCCTCAGTAGCCAATTTGATCAACTGGAAGAAAGGGTATCAGTGATGGAAGAGCAAATGAATGAAATGAAGTGAGAAGAGAAGTTTAGAGAAAAAAGAGTAAAAAGAAATGAACAAAGCCACCAAGAAATATGGGACTATGTGAAAAGACCAAATCTACGTCTGATTGGTGTACCTGAGAGTGACGGGGAGAATGGAACCAAGTTGGAAAACACTCTGCAGGATATTATCCAGGAGAACTTCCCCAATCTAGCAAGGCAGGCCAACATTCAAATTCAAGAAATACACAGAACGCCACAAAGATACTCCTCGAGAAGAGCAACTCCAAGAAACATAATTGTCAGATTCACTAAAGTTGAAATGAAGGAAAAAAATGTTAAGGGCAGCCAGAGAGAAAGGTCAGGTTATCCACAAAGGGAAGCCCATCAGATTAAGAGCTGATCTCTTGGCAGAAGCTCTACGAGCCAGAAGAGAGTGGGGGCCAATATTCAACATTCTTAAAGAGAAGAATTTTCAACCCAGAGTTTCATATCCAGCCAAACTAAGCCTCATAAGTGAAGGAGAAATAAAATACTTTACAGACAAGCAAATGCTGAGAGATTTTGTCACCACCAGGCCTGCCCTAACAGAGCTCCTGAAGGAAGCACTAAACATGGAAAGGAACAACCAGTACAAGCCACTGCAAAAACATGCCAAATTGTAAAGAACATCGAGGCTAGGAAGAAACGGCATCAACTAACGAGCAAAATAACAAGCTAACATCATAATCACAGAATCAAATTCACACATAAAAATATTAACCTTAAATGTAAATGGGCTAAATACTCCAATTAAAAGACACAGACTGGGAAATTGGATAAAGAGTCAAGACCCAGCAGTGTGCTGTAACGAGGAAACCCATCTCATGTGCAGAGACACACATAGGCTCAAAATAAAGGGATGGAGGAGAAAGATCTACCAAGCAAATGGAAAACAAAAAAAGTCAGGAGTTGCAATCCTAGTCTCTGATAAAACAGACGTTAAACAAACAAACATCAAAAGAGACAAAGAAGGCCATTACATAATGGTAAAGGGATCAATTCAACAAGAAGAGCTAACTATCCTAAATAAATATGCACCTAATACAGGAGCACCCAGATTCATAAACCAAGTCCTTAGAGACCTACAAAGAGACTTAGACTCCCACACAATAATAATGGGAGACTTTAACACCCCACTGTCAACATTAGACAGATCAACAAGACAGAAAGTTAACAAGGATATTCAGGAATTCAACTCAGCTCTGCAACAAGCGGACCTAATAGACATCTACAGAACTCTCCACCCCAAATCAACAGAATATACATTCTTGTCAGCACCACATCACACTTATTCCAAAATTGACCACATAGTTGGAAGTAAAGCACTCCTCAGCAAATGTAAAAGAACAGAAATTATAACAAACTGTCTCTCAGAACACAGTGCAATCAAACTAGAACTCAGGATTAAGAAACTCACTCAAAACCCCTCAACTACATGGAAACTGAACAACCTGCTCCCAAATGACTACTGGGTACATAAAGAAATGAAGGCAGAAATAAAGATGTTCTTTGAAACCAACGAGAACAAAGACACAACATACCAGAATCTATGGGACACATTTAAAGCAGTGTGTAGAGGGAAATTTATAGCACTATATGCCCACAAGAGAAAGCAGGAAAGATCTAAAATTGACACCCTAACACCACAAATAAAAGAACTAGAGAAGCAAGAGCAAATACATTCAAAAGCTAGCAGAAGGCAAGAAATAACTAAGATCAGAGCAGAACTGAAGGAAATAGAGACATAAAAACCCTTCGAAAAATCCATGAATCCAGGAGCTGGTTTTTTTGAAAAGATCAACAAAATTGATAGACCGCTAGCAAGACTAATAAAGAAGAAAAGAGAGAAGAATCAAATAGACGCAATAAAAAATGATAACAGGGATATCACCCCTGATCCGACAGAAATACAAACTACCATCAGAGAACACTATGAACACGTCTATGCAAATAAACTAGAAAATCTAGAAGAAATGGATAAATTCCTTGACACATACACCCTCTCAAGACTAAACCAGGAAGAAGTTGAATCTCTGAATAGACCAATAACAGGCTCTGAAACTGAGGCAATAATTAATAGCTTACCAACCAAAAAAGTCCAGGACCAGATGGATTCACAGCCGAATTCTACCAGAGGTACAAGGAGGAACTGGTACCATTCCTTCTGAAACTATTCCAATCAATAGAAAAAGAGGGAATCCTTCCTAACTCATTTTATAAAGCCAGGATCATCCTGATACCAAAGACTGGCAGAGACACAACAAAAAAAGAGGATTTTAGATCAATATCCCTGATGAACATTGATGCAAAAATCCTCAATAAAATACTGGCAAACTGAATCCAGCAGCACATCAAAAACCTTATCCACCATGATCAAGTGGGCTTCATCCCTGGGAGGCAAGGCTGGTTCAACATTCACAAATCAATAAACATAATCCAGCATATAAACAGAACCAATGACAAAAACCACATACTTATCTCAATAGATGCAGAAAAGGCCTTTGACAAAATTCAACAACCTTCATGCTGAAAACTCTCAATAAATTAGGTATTGATGGGACGTATCTCAAAATAATAAGAGCTATCTATGACAAACCCATAGAAAATACACAGAACGCCACAAAGATACTCCTCGAGAAGAGCAACTCCAAGAAACATAATTGTCAGATTCACTAAAGCCAATATCATACTGAATTGGCAAAAACTGGGAGCATTCCCTTTGAAAACTGGCACAAGACAGGGATGCCCTCTCTCACCACTCCTATTCAACATAGTATTGGAAGTTCTGGCCAGGGCAATCAGGCAGGAGAAGGAAATAAAGGGTATTCAATTAGGAAAAGAGGAAGTCAAATTGTCCCTGTTTGCAGATGTCATGACTGTATATCTAGAAAACCCCATTGTCTCAGCCCAAAATCTCCTTAAGCTGATAAGCAACTTCAGCAAAGTCTCAGGATACAAAATCAATGTGTAAAAATCACAAGCATTCTTATACACCAACAACAGACAAACAGAGAGCCAAATCAAGAGTGAACTCCCATTCACAATTGCTTCAAAGAGAATAAAATACCTAGGAATCCAACTTACAAGGGATGTGAAGGACCTCTTCAAGGAGAACTACAAATCACTGCTCAATGAAATAAAAGAGGACACAGACAAATGGAAGAAGATTCCATGCTCATGGGTAGGAAGAATCAATATTGTGAAAATGGCCATACTGCCCAAAGTAATTTATAGATTTAATGCCATCCCATCAAGCTACCAATGACTTTCTTCACAGAATTGGAAAAAACTACTTTAAAGTTCATATGGAACCAAAAAAGAGCCCGCATCACCAAGTCAATCCTAAGCCACAAGAACAAAGCTGGAGGCATCATGCTACCTGACTTCAAACTATACTACAAGGCTACAGTAACCAAAACAGCATGGTACTGGTACCAAAACAGAGATATAGACCAATGGAACAGAACAGAGCCCTCAGTAATAATACAACACATCTACAACCATCTGATCTTTGACAAATCTGACAAAAACAAGCAATGGGGAAAGGATCCCCTATTTAATAAATGGTGCTGGGAAAGCCGGCTAGCCATATGTAGAAAGCTGAAATTGGATCCCTTCCTTACACCTTACACAAAAATTAATTCAAGATGGATTAAAGACTTAAATGTTAGAGCTAAAACCATAAAAACCCTAGAAGAAAAACCTAGGCAATACCATTCAGGACATAGGCATGGGCAAGGACTTCATGTCTAAAACACAAAAAGCAATGGCAACAAAAGCCACAATTGACAAATGGAATCTAATTATACTAAAGAGCTTCTGCACAGCAAAAGAAACTACCATCAGAGTGAACAGGCAACCTACAGAATGGGAGAAAATTTTTGCAATCTACTCATCTGACAAAGGGCTAATATGCAGAATCTACAATGAACTCAAACAAATTTACAAGAAAAAACAACACCATCAAAAAGTGGGTGCAGGATATGAACAGACACTTCTCAAAAGAAGACATTTATGCAGCCAAAAGACACATGAAAAAATGCTCATCATCACTGGCCATCAGAGAAATGCAAATCAAAACTACAATGAGATACCATCTCACACCAGTTAGAATGGCAATCATTAAAAAGTCAGGAAACAACAAGTGCTGGAGAGGATGTGGAGAAATAGGAACAATTTTACACTGTTGGTGGGACTGTAAAGTAGTTAAACCATTGTGGAAGTCAGTGTGGCAATTCCTCAGCGATCTAGAACTAGAAATACCATTTGACCCAGCCATCCCATTACTGGGTATATACCCAAAGGATTATAAATCATGCTGCTATAAAGACACATGCACACGTATGTTTATTGCGGAACTATTCACAATCGCAAAGACTTGGAACCAACCCAAATGTCCAACAATGATAGACTGGATTAAGAAAACGTGGCACATATACACCATGGAATACTATGCAGCCATAAAAAATGATGAGTTCATGTCCTTTGCAGGGACATGGATGAAGCTGGAAACTATCATTCTCAGAAAACTATCACAAAAAACCAAACACCGCATGTTCTCACTCATAGGTAGGAATTGAACAGTGAGAACACATGGACACTGGAAGGGGAACATCACACACTGGGGCCTGTTGTGGGGTGGGGAGATGGGGGAGGGATAGCATTAGGAGATATACCTAATGTTACATGACAAGTTATTGAGTGCAGCACACCAACATGGCACATGTATACATATGTAACAAACCTGCATGTTGTGCACATGTACCCTAAAACTTAAAGTATAATTAAAAAAAAAAGAAAATTTTTAGGATACAAAAGGTTCACAAAATTATATGATTTTAAAACATTTAAATATGTATGCATTTATACACATATGTACATGTAAAAAATAAAATATTAAAAATCTACTCTTTAAGAAATTAAGAAAATAATGGATTTTTTTTTTGCTAAAAGCAAACTTCCCTTTTTCAGTGTACAAATTCCACTTTCAAAAGCTCTTTTACAACATATTGATTCTTTCCATTAAACCAGTTAGATCTAGCCTTTATTATTGATTTTCGTATATAACCTTTACCCTAAGGCTTCAGGCTAACTTTGTATAAGTAAATTGTTCAATCATTAAAATAGTTTAAATACCACATTCAGTAGTTTCAGTTGTTTATAGGCGTATATGGTAACAAAAGACAAATAAATAAATAAATAAATAATAACTTTATTCTAAATCCTAAAAGGCAGACAAGTTGATTTTCAGGGAGACAACAGTGAACAGAGAAAACTGAAATCCAACAGGGACTTTCTTAAATTGCTCCCACAAAACACAAAACTTACAAACCTATTTATGCCAGCATATAACATATTTTTCCCTCTTGAGTTAGAAGAGATGGTTTCTCCCTTCTAAGCACAGTCCTTTAATAATCTGCTTTGGGACCTCTTCACTTTTGCATTCTGATGATCCTTATGCAATTAATTATTGTCTTTAATTCCTATTTGTGTGCCAGTTCCTATTGCCTGGATCCATCTCTGTAACATAAAATTACACAAAGTCATCCTTAAACTCCAAAGTTGCCTCCAGCTTATCTCCACACTCTTCTTTACGTCTAACTTTAAGAAATAATTGTTCATAATTGCTATCTCTGTTTCTTCAGCTCCAGTCACTCCTCAATGTATTCCAAAATGGCTTTCACTCTTGTCTACAGTGAAAATTTCCCCTGATGTCACCACACCACTGACCCTCATGCCAAAAAATTTATGAATATTATTCTCTTCTTGTCTTATTAAAGTTTCCACAGCACCTGACAATATTGCCCAGTCCATAATGTCTAGTGTCCCCGATATCATCCTTCTCTTTTCTGGGTTTCTGTGACATAACCCACTCTTTGTTTCCCAACTGTATCTTTGTTCTCTTTTCAATCTCTTGCTTATGTCCATTCTCCTAGATGTAGTTATTTAATGGTGCAATTTTTCATGGCTGGATGTCTTCTCTTCTCTCTGATTCTCTCTCTCTAAGCAATCAGACCCATGCCCTTAAATACCATCTAGATGCTGGTGACTTCCATCTTTGTGGCTCCAGCTGAAGTCTCTTCTCTGGACTACACATCTAACTGCCTGCTCAACTTACCTGGATGCCAAAAGCATTTCAAACTCCTCATATCCAAGGTTCAGCATATTATCTTCCTTCTAAACTTTGATACTCTTTCACACTTTAGGTGCCACACGTCCTGCAGATGCATGAACCAGAAGCCTAGGAGTCATTATTATTACCTCTCATTCTTTCATAATTATTTAATCATTAAATTATTTAAGTTAATCACCCAAATATATTTTAAACTTCTATTCTTATTACCATCTCATCTGAAACCAGTCCTTATCCAAGCTACTCTCATCTACTTCCTGGGTAATATTTATAATGTATTAAAAATATAAATTAATATTATTATAATTATTAGTTAACCTACTAACTGCTTTGCCTTCATCCATATTGGATGCCTCCCACTATTCTTCAAACTAGGCAATGGTTTTTCCAGTAATAAATCTGATCAGGTCACTTTCTGCTTAAAATTCAATAACTTTAGATTGTCCTTAGGAAAAATCCCAAGATCCTTATTTTTGCCTACAAGGTCCTGTATTATCTGACCCTTGCCATCTTTTTAGTCTTATCTTTCAGATCTTCTTTTCTCAGATAAATATTTTTTAATCTCACAATCCTTTTAGATCTTCCTTTTGTCACGGAAATATTTTTTAACTTCACAATCCTAGTGAACTTGGTTTATTTTATCTTCTCAGGGAATCATATTTTCTTCCTTCTGAGTACCCTCAGTTTTTAATTAAATATCTATTAATGCCTACACCTTTCATTTGTAGTCTCCTTTAGAACAGGGAGAGTTTATATTTTCTCACCATTGCATTTCTAGCTGAAGGCCATCGACATGGCACTTAATCAGTACCAAAAATTGTTTATTAAATGAATGAAGAAAAACAAAAACATAATAATGTAATCATTGAGAGAACAAACTCTCTAAAGTCAGATACACTGCAGTTCAAATTCCAGCTCTATGCTTACTAGTTACATGGGTAGTCTCTCCTAGTCTCCCCATCTATACTAAGGAAACAATAATCCTCACTTCATATAGTTATTAAAAATATCAATAGCTAGTTTTAAGTAAGTAATCTGGGTTTGGCACTGGATTAATTACTTTTACATTAATTATCTTACTTAAAATCATTAATGTCATGGCTGGACACAGTGGAATTACACACTTGTAATTCCAGCACTTTGGGAGGCCAAGGTGGGCGGATCACTTGAGGTCAGGAGTTCGAGACCAGCCTGGCCAACATGGTGAAATCCCATATCTAATAAAAATACAAAAATTAGCCAGGCATGGTGGTGTGCACCTGTGGTCCCAGCTACTCAGGAGGCTGAGGCAGGAGAATTGCTCGAACCTGAGAAGTGGAGGCAGATGTGAGCCAAGATTGCACCACTGCACTCCAGCCTGGGGGACTGAGTGAGACTCTGTCTGAAAAAAAAAAAAAAAGAAAGAAAGAAAAAGGAAAGAAAAGAAATTAGTACCATGAGGTAGGTATTCAAAATAATTCCAATTTTAGAAGTGAGGAAACAAAAATTTCAAGGGTTGGGTAACTTTACCAAGGTTACACAGGCAGTAAATGGAAGAGTTATGAGTAAAACAAGTCTGTTTGACTTCAAAGTTTATTTTTTAGCCTTATTGCTTTAGCCATTATGCTTCCCCCCATATTTAGATAATGGGTGGCTCAATTTAGATCCTATATACACTGCTTATTATGGTGTCTGGCACATAGTAAATATTCCAAGAGTAGTTTATTATTTTTCTTGATATTACTAATTTTATTAACTACTAATATTAATTAATGTTATTATTATTACCACAGTTAAGATCTACGAAATTCAAATACTACATTTCCATTTTCCTGGAGGATAAATGCATACACTCAATAAGTCCCTTGTCAATGCCAACTGCTACAGAGCTAGTGGCTTACATCTAACATAGTGAAGCATTCTTCCCAGTCTTCAAAATCCCTACAAATTATGTTATATCCGAGAGTGCTGCCCAATATCTCCAACAAGAGAAACTTATCCTCCTCAGTACTCAGTGCAACTTGAACTTCCACTAAAGATAGGGTAATTAATCGTAGGTCATGAAGCACCATTGCTTTTTACTATTATTTTTCTTCTAAGGTTAGAGGCACCTTGGCATTCCAACTGAATTATAATTTTGCCGAACTCCAGCATCTTGCTACTTTGCAATCCCTAAGCACCCAACCAAATGCTTTGCACGCCATTAGCAAAGGAACAAATATTTGTTAACTGATTGAAAAGAGGCAAAAATAATAATCACAAAAAATTTTACATCCTCTTCAGAGAACAAAATATTAATATTCAGATGTGAGTAGATTATAGGAGGGATGTTTTAAGTTCAGAGAAAGTTCATTCAGAGGAATGGTTTTTTCAGAAGCTTCTCAACAGACAGGTTAATTTCTCACTATGACTACTGATTTCCACAGAGACACTATCATAGCTTACAGGGACATTTCTGTATTTTGAAATCTATAAAATCGTAATAGAATATTTCTTAATAGAGATTTAAGTGACTGGTTTTCCAAGGGCTATTGACATTATCTATATCTCTTGCAATTATAATTATAGCCTGTACACTAATATAAACAAAACAGTGAATGTATGACTGTGAGTTATGAAAATAAAAATATCCTTGTAGAAATATATCTCCATATATATTGAAGAAGGATTTTGAAACACTTGCAATATTAATAGATAAGTATAAGGTGTTCCTAATTAACAATAAGTAAACACATACACACAAGTATGTCAATAAGTTTATTAGTTGTGTTTTTTGACATACACATACCTAACTCTTTTGTAGTTCCTATTTGTTCCCACCGCCCCTTTTCACTGTGCAAAAAAATGGTATCTTAGTGAGTGCTGTCAAGTTCATATGTACCTGTTTATTCTATGAACTGATAAGGTTATTTGCCATTAAATTAAAATCTTATAATCTTTGACATTGAATTAAAATCTTGCAATCAATACTAGGGTCCCAGATTTTCTTATAATTGTGGTTTAGAGGTAGAAATTGGTTGGAAAGGGGAAAAGGGAAGATAGAATAGACTGGAGATGTTTTGAAACTGCACTTTCATGGCAAGTATACTGATTTGTTTAGATGAAATATTTTCTTGGATTGTCTTTTGAGTAAACTATTGGAGAATATGTTTGGGGGAGGCTAAAACTGCCTTCCACTTCCCTAGTATGTACACCTAATTTTTATGGTGGTGAACCATGAACATGCTGGCCAAATAATTCACAAAGGACATTCTAGGTGTTTCTAACTTGCTCAAATCAGTAATTAATAATAATAATAATAATAATAATAATGTTAACTTTCTGTTTAGGCAACCTCTAGCTAGTCAAAGCTTTTCCTGGATTTATTTGTGCCTAAATAGTAACCGAAAATATGTTTATTTTAAACTTCATATATGTGTAAAAACTTTGGAGTCATAAATTTCAGGTAAAGGACTTTCTTGCTGACATTTTCCATTAATATAACAGTATATTACTCAGTTATTTTGCAAATAATATGCTTGACTAAGGAGGGCACATATATATATCTTTTCTGCAAGTATGTCTTTCAGAAAGGCTAGCCAAATTGTCAGTTCAGAAACTTAAATTTTAGTGTTTTTTTCCTGGTCTCATGTAAACAATGTTTCTCCAGAAATACTTACAAACACATTGTTTAATCAAGAGAACTGTAAAATAAAGAAATCTGTAGAGTGTTATAGAAACAAATACTAATGACTAATAGCATTAAAACTCACATGATATTTCAAGAATATAAAATGTTATAAAACAGATAATCTATAGCAGAGCTATGTCATGATAAAGTTACAAGATACCGTGAATACTTTTGACCACTGACAACAGTCACTGCCATTTGTTAAGTCATATTGGTAAATATGTTGTTTATCTTCATCATTTTTCCAAATGAGAGAACAACAGCACAGAGAGGCCAAGTTTCACTTGTCTAAGATAAAATCACGAGATATTAAAATATTCATCACTAACATCAAAATTTTTTACAGTTATTAAATGTATGTTTCCTTTTTTTTTTTTTTTTTTTTTGAGACGGAGTCTTGCTCTGTCGCCCAGGCTGGAGTGCAGTGGTGTGATCTCAGCTCACTGCAAGCTCCGCCTCCCGGGTTCACGCCATTCTCCTGCCTCAGCCTCCCAAGTAGCTGGGACTACAGGCGCCCGCCACTGCGCCCAGCTAATTTTTTTTTTTTATTGTATTTTTAGTAGAGACGGGGTTTCACCTTGGTCTCGATATCCAGACCTCGTGATCCGCCCGCCTCGGCTTCCCAAAGTGCTGGGATTACAGGCGTGAGCCACCACGCCCGGCCAAATGTATGTTTCTTTATTGATACAATTTTGAGATACAGTTACTAATTGTAGGTTTATTTATTGATACATTAAATAACAAGAGCTGAGTGTCCAATAAGTATAATGTAATGATGGATGTAAACAATAGTTCAAGAAATCTGCAACAACTGTCAGTCTGACCTATCTGTAATTTTCCTTTTTTATTTTTAAATTTTATTTTTTGTTCAGGGGTATATGTGCAAGTTTGTTAGATAAACTGTGTGTCATGGGAGTTTGTAATATGGATTATTATGTCACCAAGGGAATAAGCATAGTATTCAATATGTCTTTCTCCTCTCCCTCCTCCCACGATCCACCCTCAAGTGGGCCCCTTGTCGGTTGTTCCCCTCTGTGTCCATGTGTTCTCATTGTTCAGCTCCCACTTATAGGTGAGAACATGTGGTATGTTTTCTGCTCCTGCATTAGTTTACTTAGGATAATGGCCTCCAGCTCTACCAATGTTGCTGCAAACAACATGATCTCATTCTTCTTTATGGTTGCATAATATTCCATGGTGTATATGTACCATATTTTCTTTCTCCAGTCTACCATTGATGGGCATTTAGGTTGATTCCAAGTGTTTGATATTGTGAATTGTGCAAAATAGAAATCATTCTACCATAAAGTCACATGCACACATATTCTGAATATTGTTTAATATTATTCAATCAATATTCTGAATATGTGTGCATGTGACTTTATGGTAGAATGATTTCTATTTATTTCTGTATTTACCCAATGATGAGATTTTTGGGTTGATTGGTAATTGTGTTTTAAGTTATTTGAGGAATTGCCACATTGCTCTCCATAATGGCTGAACTAATTTACATTCCCACCAGCAGATTCTCCACAACCTTGGTGGCATCTGTTATTTTTTTACTTTTTAATGATAGCCATTCTGGTGTGAGATGGTATGTCATTGTTTTAATTTGCACTTCTCTAATGATTAGTAATGTTGAGTATTTTTTTCATATGCTTGTTGGCCATGTGTATGTCTTCTTTTGAAAAGTGTCTGTTCATGTCCTTTGCTCACTTTTTAATGGGGTGGTTTGCTTTTTGCTTATTAATTTGTTTAAGTTTCTTTTACATTCTGGATAGTAGACCTTTGCCAGATGCATAGTTTGCCAATATTTTCTTCCATTCTGTAGGTTGTCTGTTTACTCAATAGTTTCTTTTGCTGCACAGGAGCTCTTAGTTTAATTAGGTCCCATTTGTCAATTTTTGTTTTTGTTACAATTGCTTTTGGTGTTTTGTCATGAAATCTTTGCCAGGCCCTATGTCCAGAATGGTATTTCCTAGAGTATATTCCAGGGTTTTTATAGTTTTAGGTTCCACATTTAAGTATTTAATCCATCTTGAATTAATTTTTGTATATTGTATAAGGAAGGGTCCAGTTTCAATCTTCTGCATATGGCTAGCCAGTTATTGCAGCAGCGTTTATTGAATAGAGAGTCCTTTCCCCATTGCATGTTTTTGTCAACTTTGTCAAAGATCAGATGGTTATAGATGTGCAGCATTATGTCTGGGGTCTCTATTCTGTTCCATTGGTCTGTGTTGTTGTTCTGATGTTGTGCCAGTACCATGCTGTTTGATTACTGTAGCAATGTAATGTAGTTTGAAGTCAGGTAATGTGATGCCTCAAGCTTTGTTCTTTTGTCTTAGGATTGCTCTGGGTATTTGGGCTCTTTTTTTGTTCCATATGAGTTTTAAAAGAGGTTTTTCTAATTCTGTGAAGAATGTCATTGGTAGTTTGATAGGAAAAGCATTGAATCTATAAATTGCTTTAGGCAGTATGGCCATTTTAACAATATTGATTCTTTCTATTCATGAGGATGGAATGTTTTTCCATTTGTTTGTATTATCTCTGATTTCTTTCAAATGTGTTCTTCACCTCTCTTTGTACAGATCATTCACTTCCTCGGTTACCTGTATTCCTAGGTATTTTATTCTTTCTGTGGCTATTTTGAATGAGACTGTGTTCCTAAATTGGCTCTTAGCTTGGATGTTGTTGGTGAATAGTCATGATACTGAATTTTGTACATAGATTTCATATCCTGAAACTGTGCTAAAGTTGTTTGTCAGATCACAGAGTTCCTCAGCAGAGATTATGGGGTTTTCTATTACAGACTCATATCATCTGTAAGAAAGAATAGTTTAACTTCCTCTCTTCATATTTAAATACCTTCATTTCTTTCTCTTGCCTGAGTGCCCTGGCCAGGATATCCAGTTAGAGTGGGCATCCCTGTCTTGTTCCAGTTTATAAGGCGAATGCTTCTAGCTTTTGCTCATTCATTATGATGTTAGCGGTGGGCTTAACATAGATAGCTCTTATTATTTTGAATCATGTTCCTTCAGTGCCTAGTTTGTTCAAGGTTTTTAACATGAAGTGATGTTATATTTTATTGATAGCCTTTTCTACATCTGTTGAAATAATCATGCAGTTTTTGTTTTTAGCTGTCTTTATGTGATGAATCACTTTCATTGATTTGCATATGTTGAACTAACCTTGCATCCCAGGGATAAAGCCTACTTGATCTTGGTGAATTAGATTTTTGATGTGTGTATTTATTTGGTTTGCTAGTATTTTGTTGAGAATTTTTGCGTCTATGTTCATCAAGGATATTGGCCTGAAGTTTTATTTTTTTGTTGTGTCTCTCACAGGATAATGCTGGCCTCATAGAATGAGTTAGAAAAGAGTTCCTCCTCAATTTTTTAGAATAAAAAAGTTCGCAATAAAAAGTTTCAGTAGCAATATTACCTCCTCTTCTTCATACATCTGGCAGAATTTGACTGTGAATCTGTCTGGTCCTGGACTTTTTTGATTGGTAGGTGTTGTAAAACTTGTTCAATTTTGGAATTCATTGTTGGTCTGTTCAGAGATTCAGTTTCTTCCTGGTTTCTGGTTCAGTCTAGGGAGGTAGTATGTATCCAGGAATTTATTCATTTCTTCTAGGTTTTCTAGTTTGTGTGCAGATATATGTCCATAGTAGTCACTGATTATTTCTTCGTATTTCTGTGGGGTCAGTAGTAATGTCCCCTTTGTCAGTTCTGATTATGTTTATTTGAATCTTTTCTCTTTCTTTCATATTATTCTAGTTAACAGTCCATGTTGTTAACTTTTTCAAAGAACAAACTCCTGGAATTTTTTATCTTTTGTTTGGTTTTTCTCATCTCAGTTTCCTTCAGTTTGGCTTTGATTTTGGTTATTTCTTGTCTTCCGCTAGCTTTGGATTGGCTTGCACTTGTTTCTGTAGTTCCTCTAGGCGTAATGTAATATTGTTAATTTGAGATCTTCCTAACTTTTTTCATGTGGGCATTCAGTGCTATAATCTTCCCTCTTAACATCGCCTTATCTGTGTCCCAGAGATTCTGGTAAGTTGTATCTTTGTTCTCATTAGTTTCAAATGTTTTCTTGATTTCTGCTTTTATTTCATTATCTACCTGAAAGTTATTCAGAAGGAAGTTGTTTAATTTCCATGAAATTGTATGACTTTGAGTGATTTTCTTAATATTAATTTGTGTTTTTATTGCAGTGTGGTCTGAAAGTGTGCTTAGTATGGTTTCAGTGTTTTGTTTTATCTTGTTTTAAATTGCTGAGGATTGTTTTATGTCTGATTGTGTGGCCACTTTTAGAGTATGTGCCATGTGATGATGAGAAGAATGTATATTCTGTTATTTTGGGGTGGAGAGCTCTGTAGATGTCTGTTAGGCTTATTTAGTCTGGTGTTGAGTTCAGGTCTTGAACATCTTTGTTAATTTTCCATCTCAATGATCTCTCTAATATTGTCACTCAGGTATTGAAGTCTCCCATTATTATAGTGTTGAAATCTAAGTTTCTTTATAGGTCTCTAAGAGCTTTCTTTATATATCTGGGTGCTCCTCTGTTGGGTGCGTATATATTTAAGATAGTTAGCTTTTCTTGTTGAATTGAACCGTTTACCATTACGTGATGCCCTTCTTTGTCTTTTTGGATTTTTGTTGGTTTAAACTCTGTTGTGTCTGAAATTAGGGTTATAATCCCTGCTTTTTTCAGTTTTACATTTACTCCGTAGATCTTTCTCTATCTCTTTATTTTGAGCCTATGGGTGTCACTGCATGCGAGATGAGTCTCTTGAAGAGAGCATACCATTGGGTCTTGATTCTTTACCAAGCTTGCCACGCTCTGCCTTTTACTTGAGGCATTTAACCCATTTACGTTCAAGGTTAATATTGATATGTGAGGATTTGATTCTGTCATTGTCTTGTTAGCTGATTATTATACAGACTTGTTTGTGTGGTTATTTTGTAGTGTCAATGGTCTGTGTATTTAAGTGCATTTTTGTAGTGATTGGTAACAGTATTTCCTTTTCATATTTAGTGCTTTTTCAGGAGATAGTTCTGGTGGTAATGAATTCCCTCAGTATTTGCATGTCTGAAAAAGATCTTATTTCTCTTTCACTTATGAAGCCTAGTTTGGCTGGATATGAAATTCTTGATTGGAAATTTCTGTCTTTAAGAATACTGAATATAGGCCCCCGATCATCTACAAAGGGAACCAAGTCAGGCTAACAACAAACCTTTCAGCAGAAACTCTACAAGCTAGAAGAGATTGGGGGCCTATATTGGAGGTGGCCAAGAAACAGATCTTGTGTAGTACCTCACAGGGGTTCTCTGCATTTCCTGAATTTGAATGTTGGCCTCTCTAGTGAGGTTTGAGAACTTTTCCTTGACAATATCCTGAAATACGTTTTCCAAGTTACTTGCTTTCTCCCTTTCTCTTTCAGGGTTGCCAGTGAGTTATAAATTTGGTCTCTTTACAGAATCCCATATTTCTTAAAGTTTTTTCTCATTCTTCTTTATGCTTTTTTCTTTCTTTTTATTTGACTGAGTCAGTTCAGAGAGCTCAGTTCGAGCTCTGAGATTCTTTTCTCACCTTGGTCTATTCTGGTGTTAATACTTGTGATTGCATTAGAAAATTCTTTTAGTGTTTTTCAGCTCTATCAGATCATTTTGTTTTTTTCCTTATAATGGCCATTTTGTCTATTAGCTCCTCTATCATTTCATTGTAATCTCTTAGATTCCTTACACTGGGTTTTGGCTTTCTCCTGAATCTCGATGGTCTTTATTCTTATCCATATTCTGAATCACATTTCTGTCATTTCAAACATTTCAGTGTGATTAAGAATGCTTGCTGGGGAACTAGGATGATCATTTGGAAGAAAAAAGACAGGCAGGCCTTTTAAGTTTCCAGAGTTCTTGCACTGGCTCTTTCTCATCTCTGTAGGCTGATGTTCCTTTAACTGCTTTGTCATTTGAATGCAGTGAGTAGACTTCCTTTCTGGATGTTTTTCAGAGGGCCAGGGCTTAGTGCAGAGTCTTTATTTGTAGCTGAATCCTTGTCCTTGGTTTCACGGGGGGGTATATTATTCAAGTATTTTGGGTGTTGAAGTTTGGGCTGTGATCCAGTAGATGGTACATAAGCATACTGCCCAGTATATAGGCTCTTGCTTAGCCACTTGGCTCCTCTGTATTTCTCATCATTGCAACCATGCTCCCTCTCAATGTGCTGAAAGTGTAGGCTCCTCTCCCACTTCACTGCTGGCTGCAGATCCTGGCTTGGCACTCCCAGGCTACACATTGCAGCTCTGGGATGAGCTCAGGCTTTATGTTCCCCACCAGCTTGGAGGCAGAGGAAGAAGACTCCTTGGCAGTGGTTGTGGTAGAGGGCCTTTTATTTGTCTCTTGTGTCTCCACCCCAGCAAGATGCAGAGCTGTTATCAATCACTGTGATCAGCCTAGGAGGAAGCAGATGTACTGTGGGCCCAAGCCAGGGAACGGGAGGCCTGCCTGGTGATAAGCAGGGCTTCAGGGATGTCATGTTTGAGATAGAGTGGTTCCTTCTCCTTTGGGCCACTGCAGCTTGCTGGCAGTATGGTTTTTAAAGCACTCAGGGTCTTTGCTCCTTCCCCAGTCCAAGGGCAGCATGGGCAGTACCAGTGCAGTGGCCATGGCAGAAGGGCTTTTGGTTAACTCTGCAGCTCCAACTCAGAGAAACATGGAGCCACTGGTAACGAGAATGTTCAGCCATGGGTTGGGTGGCTGTGCCTCTGGCCTGACCTGGGGCTTCACTTGTTAAGGATCAGGAGATTGAGAACTCACAGGGAGGAGAGACTGAACTCTTCTGTATGGTGATTGTCAAGTCCTAGAAATGTGAATGAAGCCCCCAGGCTTTTTGTTTTGTCCCCCGATGAATGGCAGCATGGTCAGAACTGCTGCTGTGGCAGTGGCAGAGGGGCTGTTGCTTGCCTCTGGTAGCCTTTACTCAGGGAAACACAAAGCAACTACCAGTGGGTATGTTAAGCCAAGAGTGGGGCAGGTGTTCTGCAGTCCTGAGCCAGGATCCCTGCCTGGTAGAATGAGGAATAGAATCTCACAGGGAAGAGACTGCACTCCTCTCTGTATGGTGGCTGTGGTATGCTGGAAGTGCCAGTGTAGCAACCAGGCCCCTTGCTCCTTCCCCAGCCTGAGGGTGGTTAGGGTGGGACCATCATGCAGCTGCAATGGTGGAGGGGCTATGGGTTGTCTCTGGGATTTCCTCCTCAGAGAAATGTGGAGCCATCTCTGACTGAAGTGTTCCAGCAGGGGCAAGGTAGTTGTCCTGAGGTCCCAGGTCAAGAGGCCCCAGCCAGTGAGCAGAAGCAGGAATGGGGACCTGCGTGGGAAACAGTCTGGCTGTGTTTCCTTGGGGCAGCTGCACTGTGCTGGGAATCCATGCCAGTCCCTAATCACTACTCACCCTCCAGAGCCTGAGGACAGCAAGTGGCAAGGGCTGCAGGGCAGCAAAAGAGGCAGCCTGACTCTCCCCATAAGAGCTCTGTCCCAGGGAAGTGCAGAGCTGCTACCAGCTTGAGAGTCCAGGTGGGGCTGATGTGGTCACACTAGGATCCCAGGTCAGTGGTCCTTATCCTGTAAGGTGCAGTGAGCATGAGGCTTGCAGTTCATTGCTGCTTAGCCCCATAGATTTGACCCCTTTCCTAGAGACATGAGAGGGAGCCTGACCTCCCCTACTGCTGGATCTGTAGCTGCTAATTCCATGATGCCCAGGGATGCAAGGATCTCAGAATTCCACAGATGCAGGAGCAGTGTCTCTACCCAGAATTCACATAGCTCTCTGGGTCAGTCTGGAAGCCCCACCTGGGGGACTCACAGGGGATCTCCTGAGTCCAGGGTTGCAAAGTCGCATGGCAGAAGTGTGGGTCCCTAAAAACTCTCACTCACTCACCATTTTCCAATAGTGGACAGGCCTCCCCGGTCTCTGTGCCATTCCCAGGTAAGCAATCATCCTGTCTCATTCCTCTGTTCTCCATGGGTTAAATTGTTTCCTTGAACAATCCCAATTTGTCCACCTAGATGTACCCGTTGAAGAGCCAGTATTTATTCGCCACTTTTTCTTCTGTCCATGAGAGTGGCACACACTAGCTGCTTCTAGTCAGCCATCTTGGCCCTCTCCAAATTTTCTAATACATTTTTATTACCTTATTCCCCAATTGTTTGCTCATCTAAGAATTTGTTATTCTTCAATAATGTTATAAAGAAATATTAAATATTGAGGTTTTGAAAAGGAGCCCATGTCTTACCTATATGAAATAAATTTTATTCAATGACCCAGAGAGAAATTGAATCTCTTTCAGTAGATTCTAGACAACCTACCACCAATTTCTGAAGTGCATGTGTATTTTCTTAACATTTACTTAATTTTTAAAACACATCTGGAGAAAAACATGGACAATTAACTCTACATCAGGTGACAATGTAAAAATGGAACAGAGTCTTATAAAGCACACTCTCCAAAATAGAATAATTATCCCCCCAAAAAAATCCTTATTGCTATAAAGTATCTAAAAATTTTGTTTATAATTAACTGATATTTTTTATTTTATTTTTTAATGGGCAAGCAATAATGCACATATTTATGGGGTACACAGTGATGTTTTGATACACATAATGTATCCTTAATACCTTTAAAATACACAATTAAACTTGTGAGAAGGTGAGGGACATCTCCAGACACCAAAAACCAAAGAGGAAGCAGAAAACTCGAGTAACAAATAAACGTTATGGTCTGATAATTACAGTAAGCTGTTCTGGTAAGAAGAAAAAAATCTTATAGTTGAGTTAAGAAAAGTGACAATAAAAAAATAAAGAAGGAAACAATGAAATAGAGAAGGAAGGATATAAAAAGAAGAGAAAAATAAATGAAAGGAGATACCAGACAATGATGAAAGGGTGTACAGAAAATTTAAAGAGTGATATGATAGAGGATGACTAGCTGGCTCCTTTGGATTCAATAGTCAGGGTTTCAGCATGTTGACATTTTCTGAGATGTGAATAATATAAAATGAGATAGTCCCACAAAAACCAGGGCAAAGAATATTTCAGGCAGGGGAAATAATATTATTATCTATGAAATTTCATGCAGTCATTAAAGAGATCACAGAAGATTTATTGAAGGAAAATGTCCAAAATAAACTATTAGGTGAATTTTCCTTTCAGAAGTCAAAGTATATATAGTGTGGTGCATTTCTGTAGAGAAAGAGGGACATACAGAAGCAAAAATAATTGTGAGAATAGACAACTAATGCTTTTAGTAGTTATCTGTGAGATAGATTTATGAATAATGCTTATATTAATTTTATGTTAAATTTTTCAGATGAACCTGCATTATCTTGAAATAAGAGAAAAGTAAAATATTAAAACAATTAACATCTTATTTGAAATTCTTGTAGGAACACCCCACTGTGATCAAGGCCCCCCATTCCATTCATCTATGCCCCTCAATCAAAACACCAGGCCCTTAATTTTGAAATGACAAACTACTCTTTGACAACGTTTCTCATTTGTGGTAAGATGGACTAAATTAAAATCACGCAATGAGGAAAATGAATATGCTCTAATCTCAGTAATTATGCAACAGTTATCTGTTCCTGACTTCCATAGTAAGCTTTCCAGAAATTGATCTCACTGCAAAATTAGCACCAGTGACTCAGAATAAGATGAGATAGGAGTTTCCCCACCAGCTATTTCGAGGCCATATCCCCAAGTGTGATATGCTATTTCCCAAAGCTCACAAATGACAGTCATTAAGAATTTGTCTTAGATGTTCTCAGAGGTACCTTTGATTTTCAGAATGAAAGCAAATGTTTAATTACTGGGGAAGTATGGGCTCAGTCTTATTTACACTAGAATACTAGGTGAAGAAATCCAATCTTTCTCTGTTTCCCTTGGGAGGTCTGCAGCTGGTGTACATCTCTTCTTTCTCTCCAGGCTAAGAGACACATCCACCCAGTCTGTTACTTAATCCTGCCTCTCTCATGCTCCCATAATGTACTCAGGATTTATGTTTACAGAAGACTAACAAAATTGCAGAGTAGCATCTACAGCAACATAGAGAACATTATTGCTCTAAATAAAGGGAATTATTTGCTACTGGCAAGATTACTCACTCAGAACATAGCTCATTGCTTTCTTGGACTTCACCTATGCTTAGAACATGAACAAATCTTAGAAATAGTAAATCTAACAATCTGCAGATTTTCTAAGAAAAACGTTACTGTTCTTTTCAGCAACACAAATATTTTTGGGGTTTTTTTCCCCCCGCTTGAGGGTTTCCTACATGATTCTGTATGAGGTACTGATTTCATGAATATTACAACACTTTTATTGCCCTTATTAGAGGTTCCAGACTGACACCCTAACTTTCCTAGGGTGGTAAAAACAGGTTATAGCCTCACAGATCTTGTTTCCTCATCAGGGGTACACAAGAAGATTTCAATTCCCAATCTCCTTTGCAGTTAGGTTAGGGTTAAAATGCCCATGAAGCATGAGCGGATATTGTATATCTTTTCCCAACCCAGTCTCTAAAATCTTCGGGGCAATTCAGCTCCCTTCCTTTTTCCAGGCTGTGTGTGACTGAAAGTGAATCCTGAAACTGCTGACTCTCACAATTGTCAGAGGTGTTTGAACCAGGACAACTCCATCTTGAATAGCGGCTGGGTAAAATAAGTCTGTGACCTACTGGGCTGCATTCCCAGGAGGTTAGGCATTCTAAGTCACAGAATGAGATAGGAGGTGGGCGCAAGGTAAAGGTCAAAAAGACCTTGCTGATAAAAGGATGCAGTAAAGAAGCCAGTGACCAAAACCCACCAAAACCGAGATGGCGAAGAAAGTGACCTCTGGTCATCTCACTGCTCATTATAGAGTAATTACAATGCATTATGTGCTAAAAGACACCCCCACCAGTGCCGTGACAGTTTACAGATGCCATGGCAATGTCTGGAAGTTACCATATATGGTCTAAAAAGGGGAGGAACCCTCAGTTCTGGGAATTGCCCACCCCTTTCCCAGAAAATTCATGAATAATCCACCCCTTGTTTAGCATATAATCAAGAAATAACCAAAAAATAGCCAACCAGCAGCCCTCTGGGCTGCTCTGCCTATACAGTAGCCATTCTTTTAGTCCTTTGCTTTCTTAATAAACTTTCTGTCACTTTACTCTATGGACTCACCTTGAATTATTTCTTGCACGAAGTCCAAACAGCTCTCTCTTGGGGTCTGGATTGGGACCCTTTTCCAGTAACACTATGACTGGTTCCTGGATCCCAGGGTCCCAGCTTGCGAGAAATTTGCCAAGGAGAGACTCTTGTCCTACTTCTGACTTACAGAAAGTGAGAAATACATTATTATAATTAATGTGTTAGGCTACTGAGATTTGGGGGTACTTGGGTTGTAGCTGCACTAGTTGCCCTAAATATATTGAGTTTTCTCATCTCTAACAGGGGCACTACTCTGTACACTACAGGGATGTTGTGAGTATTAAATGACCAGATGCATTCAAAATGCCTAGAGGAGTATATCATCTTCATTCGTGTTGTCAAAGAGCCGATTCTTTGGGGGTTTTATACTATCTGGCTTGGTTCCATTATAAGGATGGACCTCACATCTCCAGTTCACATCCTCCTTTAGATCTCTTCCAATCTCCACCGTTGTAACACCAACCAAGTCATCAATCCCATCCCTTCTCCTTTTTCGCTCAAGACATTTCACTTTTAGATAGCGAGTGCATTTGAAACTATTACTTACAAGGTGCTAAAATTAGTTCAAAAGGTTACCTTACTCCAGGGATATTTGCAACTTAAGAATGGTGCTTAGTGATTGAATGGCCTTTGAGACAAAAAACAATATTGAAGTTCTGATTGTGAAATTAGAAAGAAGCAAGAAACTTGTTGGCACGCTGGAAATTATAACAATTTAATGTTGAGCACTAACTATTCACCAGGTTCTGAATGAAACACTTCAGATTATCTCATCATCAGAGTACACCAGTGAGATAGGTACAGTAAAGTACAGAGTGTATACATAGGGAAAGCTGATTTTCTAAGTGAAGAAACTGAGGCTGTGTGTGGTTAAGTGACAGGCCCATGGTCAGACACAGTAGGTAGAGAAGCTAGAAAGAGAACCCTGCTCAGACTGGCTGGCTGAAGTTCATGCCTTTCTTGTACTATGCTGCCTCCTGAGATTTGGAGCTGGTTACATAGTGAGCATATTTATAAGTTATTTTTCCTTATCCTTTCTTAATATTGTCCTTCGTATCTTATCTAGTACAAAAGACCATCCGTTCTGCTTTGTGAGAAGGACTGTACTCATGCTTGACAAGTGGAATTTAGATCAATTGTTGCTGGGAGGTAGGCAGCCTCATCCACTCCTATACAAGACACAAAGCATTAGCTAGGTGTGCCTAAAAAGATATCTGTGACGTTTTTAAAACGTAATTGCTCAGACTCATTACTGAAGAAATATAGATAAAAACAAAGTCTTCTCCTAACACAGAAAAGATTACCACAAAAGTAGTAAAGAAAAAAGAAATTTGCTACTGAAAGAAACATTAAATCAGAATGTGATGAGTATCACAGGCAATCCACCAAGAGACTGCAAAGACAGAAAAAAATCTTACCTTTTTATCTAGGCAGGTAGATACAGCCCATTATATATATGTCTTCAAGATAAACAATAACTAGTCTTTAAATAAGAGGACTAGACAATGCCATGTTTTTAATACACATAATTCACCCTAAATTCACCTGGTAATTAAGATACTATATGTGTTAATTAATTGACTTTATACAAAGAAAAAACAAATTTCTCCTATCTTTATGACAGAAGGTAATTTTGGATGTTGGAGCAAAGAGCTCCTGGAAGTTAGGCTCCTATCCTTCCACAGACACTGGGAGATGTTGGCACTATCTCACTTGATGTTTACATTTCAAAGAAATGGTCCCAAGTACTTAAGAAAGACATTCCTGAGTTTTAAAAGTGGCAAGAGACTTATTTAGCTATTAAAAGGATTTATTTATGTTTAAACCAAAAGAAGAAAGAACTTAAAAGTTTTCTAAAGTAAATGCTTTAAGAAAATAGAAGGGAGGAAAATGTCTACATATTTTCGACAGAGATAATTATCTTTTTTTAATTTGTATTTGTCAATTCACCGTTTACCGATATGAATTGATTAATTTGTTCTGGGTTGGAATCAAGGACTCCAAATCCTCCTGAAAGTAGCATCTGAGAACAGACCTAGATAAGTAATTGGTCCATCACTGTCCACAACAATTCCCCAGAAATAGATGTGAACAGGAAAATAATGAGCACTCATTGATTAAAAGAGCATGTGTTCTGTAGTAGGAATTGGGGTAATGGAGTCACAGAACAATTTGACTCATTTAAATCAATTTAGTAACTGCTGACACCAGGATACCAGGGTTGGAGAAATGTAGGGGAATTTCATGTAGATGAGTCAAGACTTATTTGACTTCCAGAAACAGAAATACAACGTAAACTAATAATATGCAGAATTAGGAAAGGCTTAAATAATTAAGATATAGCAAGGTTGGAGGGGCAGCAACCAGAACACTTTTAGACTCTCTTTTCTTGTCTCTATTTTATTCTCTTTTATTGAAGATTGATCAAACAGCCCCTTCCCCACCGCCAGTGGACAGGACATATAACTTGCAAGCATGTGCAAGGCAAATCAAGGCCAAGGCCAAAGCCTGACTGATTCGACAGGTAAAGTTACAGCAAGCCACTTTTAAATTCACACAGTTTATGACTTACATTGACAGTGAAAGGAAAAGTTAAGTCAAAGGTGCCAGCTCCCCAGGGTTTTGTAGCACTCACCAAAAAGCAAGACACTGAAGCATGAGGGGACCAGATGACTACAGTGTGAGTTGTGAGATACCCTGTTGATGAAGAGCCAATTCTAGACAGCAGTTAAGTGTTTTTACAATCTGCAGCTCTATTCCTAGGGGAGGAGAAAAGGGCAAGGCATCAGCAGCAAAGTGTGGATGAGAAACTGTCTCATGACAGACTCCTAGTAAAGATGGGGAAGCAAGGGGGTGACGGTTTCGTAGTAGCTCCTTATAGGCCTCGCATCCTGTTCTGGGAGACTTGGAAGGCATTCTGCCAAGACTCAGAATTGCTGGAGTTGCTATTCTGAGTCTTGGCACAAGCATTTGTCTGTGTGGCCTGGGCAGGCATGTGCAAGGTCATCAGGGCACCATGGTGGGGTCACTGCATTATAATAATAACTAGCCACCCCTAATTTAGAAAATCTTACTCATTTACTAGAGAGACACGATGATTTAGAAGCACATTTTCTAAATCCACGTTCTTCAAAAAATACTCGAAAAGAGACTCGTTGATCCAGCTTAAATTAGGTACCCACATTTGGACCAATCAAAAGTCTCAGACTATGGCAGTATTTTCCCACAACTTTAAGGGAAACAGGGGAATATATATATTAAAATAAACACACACACACACACACATATATATTATATATATATATTTAATATTCAGAATCCCCTGAGTGCTCACTCAGAATCTCCTGGCCATCAGCACAGTATAAAAGTCCCTGAAAAGAGCTTCAAGGAAAAGGAGGTAATGCAGAAGAATAATAAAGTTCAACAAGACAGTAAATGGTACATTTCCTATTGTCTTGGAGATTTACAAAGGCCCCAAAATTGAGAGCAGTTAGTAATCAATAACTTACTGATAATGATTGCAGAGTTTAAGACATATCTCCACAGAAACTACACAGAGGTAACCTATGACTCCTAACAAATTCTACCTTCAATCTATACAAGTGTTTCCAAAATATTGAGTAGAAATAACATCAAGTATCCTTTGAAGATAATTAATAATTTTAAAGTGAGCTATGTCCTTTCCCTCTCTTCTCTCGCTTCCTCAGCTCATGTGCCAAGTTAGGAGACCCATGACAACCTTCATAGTGATGGTGTTTGACAATAAGCAAAAGAGATTACAATTTCTTTCTCTGGTAAGACAATTAATGAGTCTATTAACCATATAAGCCCTCCTAGCGCTAGAATAGAGTATGAGAGAATTCCTCTAACTTGAGTCTCCTGGAGTTTGGGAGCCAGAGACTAGACCCAGACTTTCATCTACAGAAATCTAAAGGTAGAAAGTTGAATGAACAAGGTTGCAGTGAAGGCAGCCTGCATTCCACTGCTGCCTGGGCAAGAGTGAGTGTGTCCCATGAGCCCAGTTCAGCTGGAAAGGAGGCTGTTAGAAAGGGCTGCCTGTTAGGATGAAGAGGCCAGGGATGTACCATTGGAGACAGTAGCAAGGAAATAATAAGTGGTCAACAGGAGAGCACCTCATCCAGAGAACACAATGTAGTATGTTCTGTGAGAGGTCTCTGAAGAGACGAAAGACATCCCAGGAGAGACAAAGCCCTATGTTCCAAAGACAGAAGGTATTAATATCCAGCACCAATAATCCAATGGTCTTTAAATTACTGAAATCTCTTACATCATAACCTATGGCATAAAATACGCTTTACATGGCAATCCGGTACACACACACACACTCTCTCACTCTCTCTCCTCTCTTTCTCTCCTTCTGTCTCTTTGTGAAATGTTGCTGAGGGACAGAATTAAAATTTCACCAATTAATGCATATCTTTATTGTAAAAGATAAAATATAAAGTGTTATGTAAATTTATGCTAATCAACTTAATTTCACAATATGTTCATAATCAATTAAATTCAGTATAAACTTTGAATGGATCTTGACCCATCAGCATCCTAGGAGCCAGAAGGAGCAAAATTCGTGCAAAGAAAGTGGAGTAAGGAAAACAGTAAAGCAGAACTTTACCTGCTGTTGACCTGCAGGGTTTGGGCTCAGGCTTTAAATTGTACAACAGATTGAAGTGATGATTTTATACTTGACTCGATTTTTTTAAATCTGTTCTCACATCCCCAACACACTTGGAAAAAAGGTGACATTTTCCTGACTCATTATACTGGGGTGAGCACAGGAGAATGACCTAACCTCTTAAAAGACCATATTTGGAAAAATAAAATAGAGCTATTTTCTCTTTGTACTCTTATTAAGTTCAGCCAATGCAATAAACTTGTCTCATAATAATAGTTAGCCTTTATAAAGACCTTAACTACATGTCAGCTGTTTCCAAGACCATTACCTCATTTAATCTTAACAATAGGTACTCATAAAGTACTTATTAAGAGGAGTTTGATGGTTTCAAGTTGAGTGGTGCAGTTTTCTTGTCCTCTAACCCTTGAAGCACAATACGCAGTGTCAACTGTTAGAGATATTTGTGACAGAAACTCAGAGTGAAAAGAAAGAGGACAACATAAATGCCTTAGGGTGAAGGGCTCAAGGAGGATCTCTTTTATGTAGGTGGACAGGGAAGGGTCACTGAGGAAATAGCTTGAGAGGCAGCTTCTGCATGTAAAGGCAAGACTACCAGGAAAAATTAAATTGTAAAAATATTGCTGGGGGTTTGTGTTTTCTCTCATGGAGTTCAAGAATACAGCAATGGAACTGAGAGCTATTGATGTTATATTTGCATGAAGAAGCTTAAGAAGTTTCACCAGCTAAAATGAGGTAGGGCTAGGATTTGAATCCAGACTAACTCTCAAGTTCATGCTACTGAACTTAGTTTGTAGACACTATTCTAATTGCTAAAATGAATAGGAACCTGCATTATCTGATTGTGAAGCTTATAAACTTGGCTGTCCCTGTTACCTAAAACTGTATTACAGGACACGCCCAGTGGCTCATGCCTGTAATCCCAGCACTTTGGGAGGCCGAGGCGGGTGGATCGCTTGAGGTCAGGAGTTCCAGACCAGCATGGCCAACATGGAGAAATCCCATCTCTAATAAAAATACAACAATTAGCTGCGCCTGGTGACACATGCCTGTAGTCCCAGCTACTCGGGAGGCTGAGGCAGGAGAATCGCTTGAACTTCGGAGGTGTAGGTGGCAGTGAGCTGAGATCTCGCCATTGCACTGCAGGCTGGGCAACAAGAGTGAAACTCCGTCTCAAAAAAAAAAAAAAAAAAAGAAAGTGTATTACAGAAATTCATTTATTATTCTTAAGAATTCTGGAGAGCTTTTTGTGTAACATTTACTCTGCCATGGAAATTACCAAAGAGTTTGATAGCATAAAATATTGTAATGGACAAACTGTTCCTCATAAGGATGTCACAATCTTTCACTGTTTGTCCACATCTACTTAAGAAATTATTAACAGCCAGGAGCTCTAAGGTATATTCTCAAGAGTACTTCATTTTCAGGCAATTTTTTCTAATTGCTCATGTCACTATGATTCAGGAATAGGCTCTTAATGCAGAAATTCAATGTATTTTGTAATTGGCTTCACATTTTCTCAGAAAAAAATTCTATGTGCTTCGATGTATGTATGTATGTAGCTCTCTGTACTATCACAATAGAATGAGGAAATGAGAAGCAGCAGGTAATCTATTCAAAGCACCTCTAGAATGCTGATAGAAAGAGAAAGAATATGTGTGAATAACTGAAACTCATACACTGAGTCAAAACTCATAGAACTACTCAGAAATCCAGAAGGGTTCCTATACAATTTTTGTTAAAATAAAATGATATATAAAAGGTTAGGATGACACCTTTAAAACTACCATTTCACAAGATATTATAACTTTATCTGTAGTTAAGTTTAACTTAGTCACAAGACTTAGAACTAGCTCATGTTGACATACAGGCTGAGTTAATGTTGAAAACATGTAATGGTAATCACAAAATCTCAAAATGTTAATTAATCTGATAAAGTTTCAACAATGAAGCAGTGGTTTTAAGGCAGTGAGCAGATACAAAAAGAAAAATAAGGAAAGTTTTTCCTTCTCTTGAAGTGAGTTTTGTTGTTGCTGTAAAGAGATTTTTATATGTCACTGCCTTCTTAACAGGGCTCCTCCAAATCCTTCCACTTACAGACAGAATATATACAGATATTAACTTCAAAATCATTTCCAACAAACTAAACTAAGTCAACAAAACTTTTCCCTATCACAGTAAGCAGCCTTCAGATATTTCATATCAAAAGATAAACAGTAAAACATGGATTATTATTTTTCCATTACACATGCCAACTTTACTTTAAATTATGCATTATTCTTTCCATTTTTGAATAATTTGATTAAGTTTTAGGAAAATAATTATTTCTTAAGATGTCTTAAGATTTTATCAGCATTGCGTTTATTAGCATTCATTGTTTTTCATCTTTACATTTTTGTAGGGATGTCTGGAAATACAAGGTGTAAAGAAAATATATCTTGTGGAAATAATAACAATAAGCCAAATTGAGAAATGAGAAATTCTGGAGGTGGAAAGAACTTTAGAGATAGCTAGTCCAATCACATTGTTTACAGATGAATAAACTAAGGTTTAAAGAAATGTGAATAAGCTGGTTGACCCCACTCATCCAAAAAGGTTATCAAAATACACATTGAGTTTAATAGTCTTTCTATTATCTAATATCGTCATTCTTCAGGTAGAGATTCTTTTTGTAAGCATTTTATTCCTTTACTCATTTAATTTATCTGTGAAGAATAAGAGGCTGTACTATACTTTATATATCAATGTCTTGCTTGATTAAATTATAACAGATAACTATCTTTCGACATTGATTGGAAGCTACCCAACTACTGAATCCAAGACCAAACGCTATTTTATTAATAGTTGGGTGTCATATCTGACCTTCTAAAGTGAGAGAAGATTTTTGTTTTTCCAAATAAATATAAAAAATTCATGAAAGTGTTTTTGTAAGGAGCTTATTACCTATAAAGGTATAGCCTTTTCAGACATACTTTAGTATAAAATATGTATAACTCCCTTATAGATTATTAATAGGTTCCCAGAATGTTTAGCACACTAAATGTGTTAGAGAACAAACTGGAATGTTGATCATAAGTCTTGTTTCAGATCTGTTTTTTTTTTAAATTGTGGGACAATTTTCCTAGATTATTTATTTCTAAATTCATCTGATAGGAAGGAATTGGCTAGATCATCCAAAATGATCTTATATCGAAGAAAAACAAATAAAATTCATTTATAATCATAATAACAAACTAATTTACTCCAGTGATTCAGGTTAGGATTAATTATACCAGAGTGTAATGCAAATACAATAAAACATGTCTGCACACAAATTCAGATTTATCTACTGGACATTTTTTCCATCAACTAAAGAAGAATGTGAACTGTGGTATATAGGGACCTAGATAAAAAGCAAGATGTTAGACTCTACCTTAGTGAGTGGACAAAATATTAAGGGATTGATTAAAAATATATATATATATATAAGAGCCAATACCTATTTGAAAGCTGGTAGTCAGAACTTGTTTAAAATTTTTCAAGAAGAACCACAGAGGAAAGTTTCCATATAATGAATTTCTTCATTGCCATAACTTCATTTATTCAACAAATTTTTATTGAACATACACTTTGTGCCAGGTTCTCTTCAGGATGCTGAGGATATAGCAATGAACAAAATTATCTGTCCTCACAGAGCTTATGTTCTGTTGTAAGGAAACACATAAAATGCTATATATCAGGTGGTGAATGTCACGCGCGTCTGTGTGAAGAGACCACCAAACAGGCTTTGTGTGAGCAATAAAGCTTTTTAATCACCTGGGTGCAGGTGGGCTGAGTCCAAGGGAGATAGGGGTGGGGCCTTTTTATAGGATTTCTGTGGGTAGTGGAAAATTACAGTCAAAGGGGGTTGTTCTCTTCCGGGCAGGGGTGGGGGTCACAAGGTGCTCAGTGGGGGAGGTTCTGAGCCAGGAGAAGGAATTTCACAAGGTAATGTCATCAGTTAAAGCAGGAACTGGCCATTATCACATTATCACTTCTTTTGTGATTCTTCAGTTACTTCAGGTCATCTGGATATATACATGCAGGCCTGGGCTCAGAGGCCTGACATTCCTGTCTTCTTATATGAATAAGAAAAATAACATAAAATAGTGTTGAAGTGTTGGGGCAGCAGAAATTTTTGTGGGGAGGTATGGAGAGATCATGATGTTTCTCAGGGCTGCTTCGAGCAGGATTAGGGGTGGCGTGGGAACCTAGAGTGGGAGACATTAAGCTGAAGGAAGATTTTGTGGTAAGGGGTGATATTGTGGGGTTGTTAGAAAGAGCATTTGTGTATAGAATGATTGGTGATGGCCTGGATACGGTTTTGGATGAATTGAGAAACTAAATGGAAGACACAAGGTCTGAATAAGAGAAGGAGAAAAACAGGTATTAAAGGACAAAGAATTGGGAGGACCCAGTGAGAGACAGGACTAGCTGGATTTCCTAAGCCGACTAAGAATCCCTAAGCCTAGCTGGGAAGGTGACCACTTCCACCTTTAAACACAGGACTTGCAACTTAGCTCACACCCGACCAATCAGATAGCAAAGAGAGTTCACTAAAATGCTAATTAGGCAAAAACAGGAGGTAAGGAAATAGCCAATCATCTATTGCCTGAGAGCACAGCGGGAGGGACAATGATCAGGATACAAACCCAGGCATTCGAGGTGGCAATGGCTACGCTCTTTGGGTCCCCTCCCTTTGTATGGGAGCTCTGTCTTCACTCTATTAAATCTTGCAACTGCACTCTCTTTTGGTCCATGTTTGTTACAGCTCAAGCTGAGCTTTTGCTCGCCGTCTACCACTGCTGTTTGCTGCTATCGCAGACCCGCCACTGACTTCCATCCCTCCCAATCCAGCAGGGTGTCTGCTGTGCTCCTGATCCAGCGAGGCACCCATTGCCGCTCCCGATCGGTCTAAAGGCTTGCCATTGTTCCTGCACAGCTAAGTGCCTGGGTTCGTCCTAATCGAGCTGAACACTAGTCACTGGGTTCCACGGTTCTCTTCCGTGACCCATGGCTTCTAATAGAGCTATAACACTCACCGCATGGCCCAAGATTCCATTCCTTGGAACCTGTGAGGCCAAGAACCCCAGGTCACAGAACACGAGGCTTGCCGCCATTTTGTAAGTGCTAGCCATCATCTTGGGAGTTCTGGGAGCAAGGACCCCCAGTAACACCAGAATATCCAATTAGAGAGTGACCATGGGGGTTCAGCATAATTACTTGCTTGGTTGGCAAGTTTTGGGGCTCTATCCTTGAGTTTTTTTATGTTGTCATACACCAGGCCAGATTGATGTAGGTAAAAACAAAACTCTTCATTTAAAAATATACAGAGTCCTCCTTTTTCAGCAATGAGTAAGTCAAGGCCTCTGCAGTTTTGGAGGACAACTGCAGCTAGAGAATCAACTTGGGTCTGAAGGACTGATAAAGTTTGATAGAGTCCAAAAAACTCACCAACAAGAAAGTAATTACGCTGCACCCCCTTGGTCATTCTCTAATTGGATGTCCTGGGTGCTCCCATTTCTTTGTCTTTTAATACCTGTTTTTCTCCTTCTCTTATTCAGACCTTGTGTCTTCCATTTAGTTTCTCAATTCATCCAAAACCATATACAGGCCATCACCAATCATTCTATATGACAAATGCTCCTTCTAATGAGGGAAGAGAGAGACCCTCTCATATTGTTTTATATTGTTTTATATGCAGTACCTGTTTTAAGAAAAAAACAAAGAAGTGAAATCAAAGACAGGCAGCCAGGCGCCAGGCCCAAAACCAGGCCTGGGCCTGCCTGGCCTAAACCTAGTAGCTAAAAATCAACTCATGACTTAGAAACTAATGTTATCCATAGATTCCAGACATTGTATAAAAGAACACTGTGAAATTACTCCCTGGTCTGTTCTGTTCCACTCTGACCACTGGTACATGCAGCCCGTCACGTACCCCCTGCTTGCTCAAATCAATCACGACCCTTTCTGTGAAACCCTTAGAGTTGTGAGCCCTTAAAAAGTTGTGTGTCCCTTAAAAGGGATAGGAATTGCTCACTTGGGGAGCTCGGATTTTAAGACAGTAGCTTGCCGATGCTCCCAGCTGAATAAAGCCCTTCCTTCTACAACTCGGTGTCCGAGAGGTTTTGTCTGTGGCTCGTCCTGCTACATTTCTTGGTTCCCTGACCGGGAAGCAAGGTGACTGACGGACGGCCAAGGCAGCCCCTTAGGCAGCTTAGGCCTGTCCTGTGGAGCATCCCTGCAGGGGACTCCAGCCAGCCTGAGTGATGCAATCCAAGTAGCGCTCCCAGGTAGGCAATTGTCCCAGTGGAACGCCTCACCAGAGCAGCGAGTAGCAGGCCCCCATGGAGGATTAACACAGTGGCTGAACACCGGGAAGGAACTGGCACTTGGAGTCTGGACATCTGAAACTTGGTAAGACTAGTCTTTGGAACTTGCCCACTCTGTTTGAGTGGAAGCGTGGTCTGATCACCCACAGCATGCCTTTATCAGCACTTTGGTTTTGGTTTTGGTTTTGACTTGGTTTGAATTGCTTGACAGGACTGGTCTTGGGAACTTGCCCACTCCATTTGAGTGGAAGCGTGGCCTGATCACCAACGGTGTGCCTGTACTGGCACTTTGGTTTTTGTTTTTGACTTGACTTAGATTGCTTGATACTTTGGTTTCAGTTTTTGACCTGGCTTGGATTTCTGGATACTCTGATTTTGGTTTTGATTTTGGTTTGGTGTAAACTGCAAAAGTGTGTGGGTGCCCTTTTTTACTTGTTCTTTGTTTTGTGGTGTGCTTGTGGTGTGATCATGGTGTTTTGTCTCAAAGAAGCATGGATCAGGATCAAAGTAAGCCCAAGCCACTATGTTGAAAAATTTCAAGAAAGGATTTAAGGGATATTACAGTGTTACTATGGCACCAGGAAAACTTAAAACTTTGTGTGAAATAGACTGGCCAGCATTAGAGGTGGGTTGGCCATCAGAAGGAAGCCTAGACAGTTTCCTTGTTTAAAAGGTATGGCACAAGGTAACCTGTAAGCCAAAGCACCCAGACCAGTTTCCATACATACACAGTTACAGCTGGTTTTAGACCCCCTTCCCCCCCACAGTAGTTAAGAGAACAGCAGCATAAGCGGCTGGAAGAGGCAAAGAAAGACAAGCAGAGAGAAAAAGAGGCCATCTATACCTATTCTAAGTTAATTTAGACTAAACAAGCTCTTATTAATAGCAAAGGATAATTGAAATCCCAAACTTACAAGGTTTTCAACAAAAGTGAAGTTTGCTAAAAGTTAACAGTGTCACATGTATTATAGTAACTCCTAATCTTGTGGCCTTAGATAGTCTAGTCCACAGACATAAAGGAAGTTCACTTTAAAAAAAAATGGTTATCTTCAGAAAAAAAAAAAAAAGGAAAAAAAAAAAGGGGGAGGCAGAATTTATATAAAAAGAGTGTTATATGGTAAATTCTTGTCCTGAAAGAAATTAACTGGTTGTTTAAAGAAAAAAAAAAATGTTTTTAATAAGTCAGAAAGTTAAGACATGTCGAAAAATTGTCTACAAAAGTCATGAAAGAACAAATGTTATAAAAGACAAATTTATGCAAAAAATGTTGTATAATTTAAAAGTAATAAGGCCTCCTGAGTACTATTGAAGAAATAGTTTATGTGCAAGGTGTCTAAAAAAAGTAAAATATACCTTTGGTTAAAAGATCATAAGGAGGCATAAGAATGTAGATTTTTACCTACATTAAAAAGTTAAAAAAATTATTGTTTTAAAAGTTTAAGCAAGTTTTAAAACATTAATTGTAAAAAAAAAAAAATATGTGTTTAAACATATTAGCTAAAGTTAAAAATGTACCATCCAGTTTTTCTGTGAACTGGACATTAAAGTAAAAATGCAACAAGTTTTTCTTAAAGCACCAACCTGCTCTTTAACAAAAATTATAAAAAGTTAAAAAGAGTCTATAAAATCTTACCTTATGGTGAAACATGAAAAGTTGGATAAATATGTCTACAAGATTTTATTAAAATTAAGTTTAACATCAATAACACACTAATATAAAGGTAAAATTTAACTTATCTGGTATAAAAATCATACAAGAAGCATTATTAAATATAAAATGGTGTTTAGCTTTCTTTGGTCTAAAAACTAATAAAAATAGGTGCTAAAGGAAACATTCATTCTACTAGAGGATCATAGAAGTTAAAGACTTAAAACAAACTTTGGCAATTAAGAGAGCATACCAAGATACAAATGCCTGGTTGAAATGGATCAAATATTCCATCTGCATGTTAAAAAAAAGCAATTGTTATGCTTGTGCACATGGCAGGCCAGAGGCCCTGATTGTCCCCCTTCCACTAAGGTGGTCCTCCAGTCGACCAGGCGTGGGTGGCATGGTAGCTCTTTTCCAGGATTCTACAGTCTGGAGTAATAAGTCATGCCAAGCTCTCTCTGCTATATCCCGAAGTCCCTTCGAGTCAGCCCCCGAGGGCCATCCAGCTTCTGTCTCCCAACACTAAGTTCACTTCATGTCTCTCATGGCAGGGAGGAGACTTAGCATTCCTTGGAGACCTGAAGGGATGCAGTGAGCTTAAGAATTTTCAAGAGCTTATCAATCAGTCATCTCTTGTTCATCCCTGAGTGGATGTGTGGTGGTATTGTGATGGACCTTTACTAGGCACTCTGCCAAATAACTAGAGTGGCACTTGTACTTTGGTCCAATTGGCTATCCCTTTCACCCTGGCATTTCATCAACAAGAGGAAAAATAAAAAAATAAGACATCGAGAAGCAAGAGAAGCCCCTTATAAGTTTTTCAACTCTCGCATCTATTTAGATGCAATTGGAGCCCCGCAAGGAATACCAGATCAATTTAAAGCTTGAAATCAAATAGTTACAGGATTTAAGTCAATATTTTAGTAGATTACAGTCAATAAAAATATAAATTTTTATTGTAATACTGTAATACTACATGTATTACAACCAACAGCAACAAGCTTTTCATGAGTTAAAAAAAAAAACAACTCAGGTCGTCTCCAGACCTGGGGCTACCTGACCTGACAAAACTTTTTACACTCTATGTGTCAAAAAAAAAAAAAAAATAGCAGTTGGAGTTTTAACCCAGACTGTAGGGCCCTGGCCAAGGCCAGTGGCCTATCTCTCAAAACAACTAGATGGGGTTTCCAAGGCTGGCCCCCATGTCCAAGGGCCCTGGCAGCAATGGCCCTATTAGCACAAGAAGCAGATAAGCTAACTCATAGGCAAAACCTAAACATAAAGTCCCCCCATGCGGTGGTGATTTTAATAAATACCAAAGGACACAATTAGCTAATGAATGCTAGACTAACTAGATACCAAACCTTGCTCTTTGAAAATCCCCGCATAACCATTGAAGTTTGCAACACCCTAAACCCTGCCACCTTGCTCCTGGTATCAGTGAGCCCAGTCAAACATAACTGTGTAGAAGTATTGGACTCAGTTTATTCTAGTGGGCCCAACCTCCGAGACCATCCTTAAACATCAGTAGACTAGGAGCTGTACGTGGAGAGGAGTAGCTTTGCCAACCCCTGCAAAGTGACTCTGAAGAAGTTGACAAGCCCTGCTCCAGTCACACCCGGAAGCTGACTGGGCCACGCATGGCCAAAGCATGAGGAAACTCATTCCGAGACTCATTTTCCTTAAAATTTGGACTTCTACAGTAAGGACTTCAACTGACCTTCCTCAGACTGAGAACTGTTCCCAGTATATACATCAAGTCACTAAGGTAGGACAAAAAGATTGCTACAGTCCTATTATTTTATAGTTATTATAAGTGTACCAGGACTCTAAAAGAAACTTGTTTGTATAATGCTATTCTATCCAAAGTATGTAGCCCAGGAAATAACCAACCTGATGCGTATTATGACCAATTTTAAGCCTCCCATAATCACAATTTTTAAAATAAAATTAAGGACTGGTCCTTTTCTAGGTGACACAAGTGAAGTAATAGCTAGGACAGAAGAAAGAGGGGTCTCCAAGCATATAACCCTAAAATTTAATGCTTGTGCCACTATCAATAGCAATTGGCATAGAATAAGATGCTCATGCACAAGTGTGTGTAATTACTGGTCTTGTGTCATCTAGACTACTTTAAAAAAAGATGAAAAAGATCCTGTTTAGCTCCAAAAAGGAGAAGGCAGCCCCTCCTGTATGAGTGGAAGCTGCAACCCCTTAAAATTAATAATTACAAATCCCTTAAACCCAAGGTAGAAAAAAAGAACACATATCTCTGGGCATCAATAGGAAAGGACTAGGTCCTAGAGTAAATATCTTAGTAAAAGATGAGGTTCAAAGACGCTCTCCAGAACCAGTATTTCAGACTTTCTATGATGAATTAAATGTGCTAGTACCTGAGACTCCAGGAAAAACCAGAAATTTGTTTGTGCAGTTAGCCAAGCACGTAGCCCAGTCTTTAAATGTCACTTCATGTTATGTTTGTAGAAAAACTGCAATAAGAGATCAATGGCCATAAGAAGCCTGAGAATTAGTGCCTGCAGACCCAGTTCCTGATGAATTCCTGGCACAAAAGAATCACCCTGATCATTTCTAGGTTCTAAAAGTCTCAATTATTAGACAAGACTGCATAGCTAGAAAAAGAAAATAATTCACTGATTCTGTAAGATGACTTAGTTGCCTAGGACAAAAACTGTATAATAGTACCCCCCCAAAAAAATAACAGTTATGTGGTGGAGTTCCAATTACACAGAAAGAGATCCATTCACTAAATTTCCAAGGTTGCAGCCTGTCTAGGCCCACCCAGAGTTCCACCAGGACTAGACTGCCCCCACCAGATTATACTAGATATGTGGACATAGAGCCTATGCTAAGCTGCCTGATCAGTGGATAAGTAGCTGTGTAATTGGCACCATTAAACCATCTTTCTTCCTACTGCCCATAAAAACAGGCAAACTCCTAGGCTTCCCTGTCTATGCTTCCCACGGAAAATGAAGCATAGCCATAGGTAATTAGAAAGATGATAAATGACCTCCTAAAAAAAAAAATTATACAATACTATAGGCCTGCCACTTAGACACAAGACAGCTCATAGGGTTACCATACCCCCATTTACATGCTCAACCGAATCATATGGTTGCAAGCTGTTTTAGAAATAATCACTAATAAAACCGGTCAAGCCTTGACTATTTTGGCCCAGCAAGAAACTCAGATAAGAAATGCCATCTATCAAAATAGATTGGCTTTTGACTACTTACTAGCAGCTGAAAGAGAGGTCTATAAGAAATTTAACCTTACTAGTTACTGTCTACATATAGATAAGCAAGGCAAGTAGTTAAAGACATAGTTAAAAATATGACAAAACTGACACATGTGCCCGTACAAGTGTAGCATGAATTCGACCCTGAAGCCATGTTTAAAAATTAGTTCCCAGCACTAGGAGGATTTAAAACTCTTATAATAGAAGTTATAATAGTAATAAGAACCTGCTTACTGCTCCCTTGTTTGCTACCTGTACTTCTTCAAATGATACAAAGCCTCATCATTACCTTAGTTCACCAGAATGCTTCAGCACAAGTGTACTATATAAATCACTATCAATCTATTGCACAAGAAGACACATATAGTGAAAATAAGAGTGAGAACTCCCACTAATAAAAAGTGAGAGTCTCAAAGGGGGGAAATGAGGGAAGAAAGAGACCTTCTCATACTGTTTTATATTGTTTTATACTCAATACCTGTTTTAAGAAAAAAACAAAGAAGTGAAATCAAAGACAGGCAGCCTGGTGCCAGGCCCAAAACCAGGCCTGGCCTGCCTGGCCTAAACCTAGTAGTTCAAAATCAACTCATGACTTAGAAACCATTGTTATCCATAGATTCCAGACATTGTATAAAAGAACATTGTGAAACTCCCTTCTCTGTTCTGTTCCACTCTGACCACTGGTGCATGCAGCCCCTGTCATGTACCCCCTGCTTGCTCAAATCAATCATGACCCTTTCGTGTGAAATCCTTAGAGTTGTGAGCCCTTAAAAAGGACAGGAATTGCTCACTCAGGGAGCTCGGATTTTAAGACAGTAGCTTGCCAATGCTCCCAGCTGAATAAAGCCCTTCCTTCTACAACTCGGTGTCTGAGAGCTTTTGTCTGCGGCTCGTCCTGCTACACGAACAACCCCATAATATTACCCCTTACCACAAAATCTTCCTCCAGCTTAGTCTGTCCCACTCTAGGTTCCCACTTCGCCCCTAATCCCACTCGAAGCATCCCTGAGAAACATCGCCCATTATCTCTCCATACCACCTCCCAAAAATTTTCGCTGCCCCAACACTTCAACACTATTTTATGTTATTTTTCTTATTAATATAAGAAGGCAGGAATGTCAGGCCTCTGAGCCTAAGCTAAGCCATCATATCCCCTGTGACCTGCACATATATATCCTGATGGCCTGAAGCAAGTGAAGAATCACAAAATAAGTGAAAATGGCCAGTTCCTGCCTTAACTGATGACATTCCACCATTTTGATTTGTTCCTGCCCCACCTTAACTGAAAGGTTAACCTTGTGAAATTCCTTCTCCTGGCTCAGAACCTCTCCCACTGAGCACCTTGTAACCCCCTGCCCCTGTCCACCAGAGAACAACCCCCTTTGACTATAATTTTCCACTACCCACCGAAATCCTATAAAATGGCCCCACCCCTATCTCCCTTCGCTGAGTCTCTTTTTGGACCCAGCCCACCTGCACTCAGGTAATTAAAAGGCTTTATCACTCACACAAACCCTGTTTGGTGGTCTCTTCACATGGACGTGTGTGACAGTGATGAGTGCTGAGAATAAAAAAAAAAGAAAGCAAAATAACACAGGGAGTTTGGGACAGTACAAGGGTGCTATTTTAGATAGAGATATTCAGGGAAAAATCTCATTAGTTAGAATTCTGAAGGAGTGAAACATACAGACATCTGAAGAAAAAGATTCTAGGTGGAAGGAATAACAAGTGCAAGGACCCTGGATGGGAATAAGCTTGGCCTATTGCCACAGCATCAAGAGTGTCAGGCCTCTGAGCCCAAGCTAAGCCATCATATCCCCTGTGACCTGCACGTATACATCCAGATGGCCTGAAGCAACTGAAGATCCACAAAAGAAGTGAAAATAGCCTTAACTGATGACATTCCACCATTGTGTTTCTGCCCCACCCTAACTGATCAATGTTCTTTATAATCTCCCCAACCCTTAAGAAAGTTCTTTGTAATTCTCCCCACCCTTAAGAATATACTTCATGAGATCTAACCCCTGCTGGCAAAACATTGCTCCTAACTCCACTGCCTACCCCAAAACTTATAAGAACTAATGATAATCCCACCACCCTTTGCTGACTCTCTTTTTGGACTCAGCCTGCCTGCACCCAGGTGAAATAAACAGCCTTGTTTCTCACACAGAGCCAGTTTGGTGGTCTCTTTACATGGATGTGTGAGACAAAGAGGTCAGTGTGGTTGAAGCAGGGTGAGTAGAAAGAGAGTGATATGGATGAGGACAGGGACATAACTTGATTTTGGAGGGTGTACTGGATCACTCTAAGAACTGTGGATTTTATTCTAAGTGAGTTGGGAAGCATTAGAAGAGTTTTGAAAGTGATACAAATTATGACTGCTATTTTAAAAGATTAACCAGGCTGCTATGTGGAAAATAGTCTGCAGTGGTGTTATGAAAAAGCCAAACTCTGTGAAATATTTTAAGAGGTTTATTCTAAGTCAAGATGAGTGACCATGGCCCACAGTAAAGTCTAAAGAGGTCCTGAGAAAGTGTGCCTGAGGCAGTCAGGTTATAGTTTGGTTTTATACATTTTAGGGAGACAGAAGTTATAGACAAGACATAAATCAACACATATAAATGTCAGGCCTCTGAGCCCAAGCCAAGCCATCACATCCCCTGTGACTTGCACGTATACGCCCAGATGGCCTGAAGTAACTGAAGAATCACAAAAGAAGTGAATATGCCTTGCCCCACCTTAACTGATGACATTCCACCACAAAAGTGTAAATGGCCGGTCCTTGCCTTAACTGATGACATTACCTTGTGAAAGTCCTTTTCCTGGCTCATCCTGGCTCAAAAAGCACCCCCACTGAGCACCTTGTGACCCCCACTCCTGCCCACTGAGCACCTTGCGACCCCCACTCCTACCCGCCAGAGAACAAACCCCCTTTGACTGTAATTTTCCTTTACCTACCCAAATCCTATAAAACGGCCCCAACCTTATCTCCCTTCACTGACTCTCTTTTTGGACTCAGCCCACCTGCACCCAGGTGAAATAAACAGCCATGTTGCTCACACAAAGCCTGTTTGGTGGTCTCTTCACACGGACATGCATGAAAATAAGTGTATACTATTTCAGCCCAGAAAGATGGCAAAGTGGGGGGCTTACAAGTCAGAGGTAGATTCAAAGATTTTCTTTTTCTTTTTTCTTTTTTTGAGACAGGGTCTTGCTCTGCCACCAAAACTGAAGTGCAGTGGTGTAGTCATGGCTGACTGTAGCCTCAACTTCTAAGGCACAAGCAATTCTCCCACCTCAGCTTCCTGAGTACTTGGGACTACAGATGCACATCAACCCACCTGGCTATTTCTATTTTTTTAAATTTTCTGTAGAGATAAGCTCTCCCTATGTTGCCCAAGCTGGTCTCAAACTCATGAGTTCAAGTGATCCTCCCATCTTGACCTCCCAAAGTGCTGGAATTACAGGTGTGAGCCACTGTGCCTGGCCAATTCAAAGATTTTCTGATTGGCAATTGGTTGAAAGAGTTAAGCTAAAGACTTGAAATCACTAGAAAGAAATGCTTGAGTTAAGATAAGGGGGGGGTTGTGGAAGCCAAGGTTCTTGTTATGTAGATGAAGCTTCCAGGTAACAGGCTTCAGAGAGAATAGATGCTGTCTTTTTTTAGCATCTTAGAAGGTGTCAGACTCTAAATCCCTTCTAGATATGGGAAAGACCTAGCTGCACTAATAGAGATCCTCTACAGATTCCAAGTTTCCCCTACAGATGGCAACATTGGAGGACCATTTCAAAATATGTCAACGAAATATATTTGGGAGTAAAATATTTTGATTTCTTTCAGAGTCTGCAACATCTGTCACGTCATGCCATACCAGAGTGACGTTGCAATTTGGTATCTTATTACTACAAAGAGTCTGTTTTGTCAGTCTGAGGATCCCTATTTTAATGTCAATACTAGTCATTTGTGCCTAAGCTCCAAAGAGGAGGAGGCATAATGAGGCATGTCTGACCCCCACTTCCTGTTAAAATCCAGAATTTAGTTTTTCAGAGGGGGTCCATTCAGTTGGTTGGAAAGCTTAGATTTTATTTATGGCTTACAGAGGCAAGGATAAAGCAATAAGACCACTGTAAACCAAAAATAAAATTCTAAGCCCCCCTCCCAACCATCTGAATGCACTTCCTCCTCAGCCAGGGCTCTTAAAATTTAACCTGAGAGTCTGTTTCAGGCCCTGATGGGAAGTGCTGTTCAAACATACCTCATTATACTTCTCAACATCAATACAGACTTTAAATCTGATAGGAAACATTTTACAACCTATTCTTTCTTAAGCCTCTTAGCTAAAAGCTTTATCTGCATAGTAAAACTTTGGTCTCTACAACCTCTTTTGCAACCCAGACATTCCTATCTATTGAACCCAGATCTTTAGACAAACTCAACCAATTGTCAGCCAGAAAATGTTTAAATTTACCTTTAGCCTGGAATCCCACCTCCTGCACCTCCCCACACTTCAAATTGTCCTCTCTTTCTGGACCAAACCAATGTATTTCTTAAATGTATTTGATGGCTCATGCTTCCCTAAAATGTATAAAACCAAGCTGCACTCTGACCACCTTGGGCACATGTTCTCAGGACTTCCTGAGGGCTGTGTCACAGGCTATGGTCACTCATATTTGACTCAGAATAAATCTCTTCAAATATTTTACAGTTTGGCTCTTTTTGTTGACACCAGTTATAAGATTGATATAATAATTCAGGCAAGAGATGATGTTGAACCACAGTGACAGCAGTTGTGGTAGGAAAAGTGGTGGCACAGTAATGTATTTAAAAAAATAGTAAAAATTTTTGCTTTTGGTAGCAATTTGCTGTGTGGAAAGCAGAATAAAGGCCTCCCAAATGTTCCTGTCTAATCCTCAGAACAGAACATATGAATATGTTTGGGTATATAGCAAATGGGAATTAAGGTTGCAGATAGAATTAAGGTTACACATGAGCATACCTTAAAATAAAGAGACTATGCTGGACAATTCTAGAGGGCTCAATGTAATCACAAAGGTCCTTAGAAGTGGATGAGGCAGAAGAATGAGGCAGAGGAAGAAGTTTCTACCAAACAAAGATGCATTGCTGCTGACTTTGAAAATGGAGGAAGGGCTGCATGTTCCCAGGAAAGTGAGCAGACTCTAGAAACCAAAGAGGGCAAGGAAATAGGTTGCCCCTTAGAGCATACTGTCTAGACTTATGGATCTAAGTTCGGTGAGACCCGTGTCAGACTTCAATCCTACAGAATAGTAGGATAAGAAATTTGTTGTTATTTAAGCTACTAATTTTGTAGTAATTTGTGGCAACAGCAATAAAATATTAATCCAGATTTGATATGGTGTATAAGAGAAAGAGAAGAGCCAAGGGTGACTCAAAGATCAATGCAAGTTTATTTCTATTACTTGTTTGGCTTTAAAGTGTGGATTCATTCTTTGTGTAGCTAAATATGCTGGTTAAATCTTTTCTTTTCAGGGGAAGTTCCAAGATGGCCAAATAGGAAGATCTCCAGTCTACAACTCCCAGCATGAGCGACACAGAAGATTGGTGATTTCTGCATTTCCAACTGAGGTATGGGGTTCATCTCAATGGGGCTTGTCGGACAGTGGGTGCAGCCCCCAAGGAGCATGAGCCAAAGCAGGGCGGGGCATCACCTCACCCGGGAAGCCCAAGGGGTCAGGGAATTCCCTTTCCAAGCCAAGGGAAGCCATGACAGACAGTACCTGGAAAATTAGGACACTCCCACCATAATACTGTGGTTTTCCAATGGTCTTGGCAAATGGCACACCAGGAGATTATATCCCATGCTTGGCTCAGAGGGTCCCACACCCACAGAGCCTCTCTCATTGCTAGCACAGCAGTCTGAGATGGAACTGTAAGGCAGCAGCAAGGCTGGGGGAGGGGCGTCCACCATTGCTGAGGCTTGAGTAGGTAAACAAAGCTGCCTGGAAGCTCAAACTGGGTGGAGCCCACCACAGCTCAAGGAGGCCTGCCTGCCTCTGTAGACTCCACCTCTGGGGGTAGGGCATAGCTGAACAAAAGGCAGCAGAAACTTCTGCAGACTTAAACGTCCCTGTCTGACAGTTTTGAAGAGAGGAGTGGTTCTCCCAGCATGTAGTGTGAGATCTGAGAATGGACAGACTGCCTCCTCAAGTAGGTCCCTGAGCCCCAAGTAGCCTAACTGGGAGACACCTCCCAGTAGGGGCCAACTAACACCTCATACAGCTGGGTGCCCCTATGAGATGAAGCTTCCAGAGGAAGGATCAGGCAGCATTTGCTGTTCTGCAATATTTGCTGTTCTGCAGCCTCCGCTGGGGATACCCAGGCAAACAGGGTCTGGAGTGGTCCACCAGCAAACTCCAACAGACCTGCAGCTGAGGGTGCTGACTATTAGAAGGAAAACTAACAAACAGAAAGGACATCCACACCAAAACACCATCTGTATGTCACCATCATCAAAGACCAAATGTAGATAAAACCACAAAGATGGGGAGAAACGAGAGGAGAAAAGCTGAAAATTCTAAAAATCAGAGCACGTCTTCTCCTGCAAAGGAACGCAGCTGCTCACCAGCAACGGAACAAAGCTGGATGGAGAATGACTTTGACGAGTTGAGAGAAGAAGGCCTCTGACGATTGCTAATAAACTTCTCTGAGCTAAAGGAGGATGTTCAAACCCATTGCAAAGAAGCTAAAAACCTTGAAAAAAGATTAGACGAATGGGTAACTAGAATAAACAGCATAGAGAAGACCTTAAATGATCTGACGGAGCTGAAAATCATGGCATGAGAACTACGTGATGCATGCACAAGCTTCAGTAGCTGATTCAATCAAGTGGAAGAAAGGGTATCTGTGATTGAAGATCAAATGAATGACATGAAGTGAGAAGAGAAGTTTAGAGAAAAAAGAGTAAAAAGAAATGAACAAAGTCTCCAAGAAATATGGGACTATGTGAAAAAACCAAGTCTACATGTGATTGGTGTACCTGAAAGTGACGGGGTAAATGGACCCAAGTTGGAAAACACTCTGCAGGATATTATCCAGAAGAACTTCCCCAACCTAGCAAGGCAGGCCAGCATTCAAATTCAGGAAATACAGAGAATGCCACAAAGGCACTCCTGGAGAAGAGCAACTCCAAGACACATAATTTTTCAGATTCACCAAAGTTGAAATGAAGGAAAAAATGTCAGGGCAGCCAGAGAGAAAGGTTGGGTTACCCACAAAGGGAAGCCCATCAGACTAACAGCGGATCTCTCAGCAGAAACTCTACAAGCCAGAAGAGAGTGGGTGCCAATATTCAAAATTCTTAAAGAAAAGAATTTTCAACCCAGAATTTCATATCCAGCCAAACTAATCTTCATAAATGAAGGAGAAATAAAATCCTTTACAGACAAGCAAATGCTGAGAGATTTTGTCACCACCAAGCCTGCCTTACAAGAGCTCCTGAAGGAAGCACTAAACATGGAAAGGAACAACCAGTACCAGCCACTGCAAAAACATGCCAAATTGTAAAGACCATCGATGCTAGGAAAAAACAGCATAAACTAATGAGCAAAATAACCAGCTACCATCATAATGACAGGATCAAATTCACACATAACAATATTAACCTTAAATGTAAATGGGCTAAATGCTCCAATTAAAATACACAGACTGGGAAATTGGATAAAGAGTCAAGACCCAGCAGTGTTCTATATTCAGGAGACCCATCTCACGTGCAGAGACACACATAGGCTCAAAATAAAGGGATGGAGGAAGATCTACCAAGCAAATGGAAAACAAAAAAAAGCAGGGGTTGCAATCCTAGTGTCAGATAAAACAGACTTTAAACCAACAAACATCAAAAGAGACAAAGAACGCCATTACATAATGGTAAAGGGATCAATTCAACAAGAAGAGCTAACTATCCTAAATAAATATGCACCCAATACAGGAGCACCCAGATTCATAAAGCAAGTCCTTAGAGACCTACAAAGAGACTTAGACTCCCACACAATAATAATGGGAGACTTTAACACCCCACTGTCAAGATTAGACAGATCAACGAGACAGAAAATTAACAAGGATATCCAGGAATTGAACTCAGCTCTGCACCAAGTGGACCTAATAGACATCTACAGAAGTCTCCACCCCAAATCAACAGAATATACATTCTTGTCAGCACCACATCATGCTTATTCCAAAACTGACCACATAGTTGGAAGTAAAGCACTCCTCAGCAAATGTAAAAGAACAGAAATTATAACAAACTGTCTCTCAGACCACAGTGCAATCAAACTAGAACTCAGGATTAAGAAACTCACTCAAAACCCCTCAACTACATGGAAACTGAACAACATAGTCCTGAATGACTACTGGGTACATAATGAAATGAAGGCAGAAATGAAGACATTCTTTGAAACGAATGAGAACAAGGACACAACATACCAGAATCTCTGGGACACATTTAAAGCAGTGTTTAGAGGGAAATTTATGACACTAAGTGCCCACAAGAGAAAGCAGGAAAGATCTAAAATGGACAACCTAACATCACAATTTACTAGAGAAGCAAGAGCAAACTCATTCAAAAGCTAGCAGAAGGCAAGAAATAACTAAGATCAGAGCAGAACTGAAGGAGATAGAGACACAAAAAACCCTTCAAAAAATCAATGAACCCAGGAGTTGGTTTTTTGAAAAGATCAACAAAATTGATACACCACTAGCAAGACTAATAAAGAAGAAAAGAGAGAAGAACCAAATAGACGCAATAAGAAATGATAAAGGGGACATCACCACTGATCCCATAGAAATACAAACTACCATAAGAGAATACTATAAACACCTCTACATAAATAAACTAGAAAATCTAGAAGAAATGGATAAATTCCTGGACACATACAACCTCCCAAGACTAAACCAGGAAGAAGTTGAATCCCTGAACAGACCAATAACAGGCTCTGAAATTGAGCCAATAATTAACAGCCTACCAACCAAAAAAGTCCAGGACCAGATGGATTCACAGCCAAATTCTACCCGAGGTACAAAGAGGAGCTGGTATCATTCCTTCTGAAACTATTCCAATCAATAGAAAAGGAGGGAATCCTCCCTAACTCATTTTATAAAGCCAGTATCATCTTGATTCCAAAGGCTGGCAGAGACACAACAAAAAAAGAGAATTTTAGACCAATATCCCTGATGAACATTGATGCAAAAATCCTCAATAAAATACTGGCAAACCAAATCCATCAGCACATCAAAAAGCTTATCCACCACTATGAAGTTGGCTTCATCCCTGGGATGCAAGGCTGGTTCAACATATGCAAATCAATAAATGTAATCCATCATATAAACAGAACCAAAGACAAAAGCCACATGATTATCTCAATAGATGTAGAAAAGGCCTTTGACAAAATTCAAAGCCCTTCATGGTAAAAACTCTCAATAAATTAGGTATTGATGGGACATGTCTCAAAATAATAAGAGCTATTCATGACAAACCCACAGTCGATATTATACTGAATGGACAAAAACTGGAAGAACTCCCTTTGAAAACTGGCACAAGACAGGGATGCCCTCTCTCACCTCTCCTATTCAACGTAGTGTTGGAAGTTCTGGCCAGGACAATCAGGCAGGAGAAAGAAATAAGGGGTATTCAATTAGGAAAAGAGGAAGTCAAATTGTCCCTGTTTGCAGATGACATGATTGTATATTTAGAAAACCCCATCGTCTCAGCCCAAAATCTCCTTAAGCTGATAAGCAACTTCAGCAAAGTCTCAGGATACAAAATCAATGTGCAAAAATCACAAGCATTCCTATACACCAATAACAAACAGAGAGCCAAATCATGAGTGAACTCCCATTCACAATTGCTTCAAAGAGAATAAAATACTTAGGAATCCAACTTACAAGGGATGTGAAGGACCTCTTCAAGGAGAACTACAAATCACTGCTCAATGAAATAAAAGAGGACACAAACAAATGGAAGAACATTCCATGCTCATGGATAGGAAGAATCAATATCATGAAAATGGCCATACTCCCCAAGGTAATTTATAGATTCAATGCCATCCCCATCAAGCTACTAATGACTTTCTTCACAGAATTGGAAAAAACTACTTTAGAGTTCATATGGAACAAAAAAAAAAGCCCGCATTGCCAAGACAATCCTAAGCCAAAAGAACAAAGCTGGAGGCATCACGCTACCTGACTTCAAACTATACTACAAGGCTACAGTAACCAAAACTGCATGGTACTGTTACCAAAACAGAGATATAGACCAATGGAACAGAACGGAGCCCTCAGTAATAATACCACACATCTACAACCATCTGATCTTTGACAAACCTGACAAAAACAAGAAATGGGGGAAGGATTCCCTGTTTAATAAATTCTGCTGGGAAAACTGGCTAGCCATATATAGAAAGCTGAAACTGGATCACTTCCTTACACCTTATACAAAAATTAATTCAAGATGGATTGAAGACTTAAATGTTAGACCTAAAACCATAAAAACCCTAGAAGAAAACCTAGGCAATACCATTCAGGACATAGGCATGGGCAAGGACTTCATGACTAAAACACCGAAAGCAATGGCAACAAAAGCCAAAATTGACAAATGGGATCTAATTAAACTAAACAGCTTCTGCACAGCAAAAGAAACTACCATCAGAGTGAACAGGCAACCTACAGAATGGGAGAAAATTTTTACAATCTACCCATCTGACAAAGGGCTAATATCCGGAATCTACAAAGAACTCAAACAAATTTACAAGAAAAAATCAACCCCATCAGAAAGTGGTCAAAGGACATGAATAGACACTTCTCAAAAGAAAACATTTATGCAGACAAAAGACACATGAAAAAATGTTCATCATCACTGGCCATCAGAGAAATGCAAATCAAAACTACAATGAGATACCATCTCACACTGGTTAGAATGGTGACCATTAAAAAGTCAGGAAAAATCAGGTGCTGGAGAGGATGTGGAGAAATAGGAACACTCTTACACTGTCGTTGGGAATGTAAGCTAGTTCAAACATTGTGGAAGACAGTGTGGCAATTGCTCAAGGATCTAGAACTAGAAATACCATTTGACCCAGCCATCCCATTACAGGGTATATACCCAAATGATTATAAATCATGCTACTATAAAGACACATGCACATGTTTATTGAGGCACTATTCACAATAGCAAAGACTTGGAACCAACCCAAATGTCCATCAATGATAGACTGGATTAAGAAAATGTGGCACATATACACCATGGAATACTACGCAGCCATAAAAAATGATGAGTTCATGTCCTTTGCAGGGACATGGATGAATCTGGAAACCATCATTCTGAGCAAACTATTGCAACGACGAAAAATCAAACACCATATGTTCTTATTCATGGGTGGGAATTGAACAATGAAAACACTTGGACACAGGGTGGGGAACATCACACACTGGGGCCTGTTGTGGGATGGGGGGAGGGGGGAGGGATAGCATTAGGAGATATATCTAATGTAAATGACGAGTCAATGGGTGCAGCACACCAACATGGCACATGTATACATATGTAACAAACCTGCACGTTGTGCACATGTACCCTAGAACTTGAAGTATAATAATAATAAGAAAAATTTCTTTTTAAAATCTAAGTAAATACATTTACAAATGAAGGTCATTAATTTAAATGCAGGTGTTTAACTGTGACCAGATCACCTCTGACTAGTAATGATGATTACACCAACATAATTTTTCATTTTCAGAATATGAACACAAACTTTTATTAAATTTGATCATTTAGCACAAGAATCTGTGAAGTGCGATTGGAAAGCATGGAAAATATTTTTATGTAGCTGTTAATTAACATGGTAGAATTTAAAAATGAGAATTGTCATTTCAGACTGCCAGCTTTCATAGCTAAATCCTAATAGCAATCTGGTGCCATGTCGAAATAGGTTTAAAATTTTTTGGCATTGCCTCTAGAATCTGTTTATAAATCCTACAAGCAAATCGTATTAAGAATTTACAAAAACACTTTTTTTCCCTGAAAACAAACTAGCAAAATGTATTGCTCAGTTTATTTTTTTATTTGTGTCTTCAATATTATATGAAAAATGCCAACTGGGACAAGATCAATCACTTTCTTCACCATGTGTAACTGTAATAACTCCATTGCCCAATGCACAAAGCAAGTCAATGCACCAAGAAACTGGGTTGCAGCGGAGAAACAGGTTTAATCCGTAGGATCACCAAATGAGGAGATGGGAGGAAACCTCAAATTTAAACTCCCCAAGGAATTTGGGTCCAAGGTTTTGGAATGAAGCAAAGTGTGGGGAACATTTGTCAAAGAGTGCAGGGTGAAGTCTTGAGACAGGGAGTTGAAGAAATGATATTTTCATGCAAATCCATTCCTCTCTTGGGGTCTTCAAAATAGCTGGCCTCAGCTGTTTTGCTGCAATTCAGGATCTGAAAAAGATCTTAAGCAATTCTTAAACAAAGCCTTATGATTCTAATGTCAGAGACCCTATTTATCTTAAATAAAAGCCCTGTGATTTTAATGCCAGAAATTCTATCTGTAGAAACAATGGAGATGCAAATGGTCAGTATCTAATGCTATGTGACTTGCAGTTACAAAGAAGTAGGTCAATGTGCCGCCTGATTAATGCCCAATTATCACTATATTTCTGTCCAGAATTCTTGTTAACCCTGTGAGGACAGCTTCACATTCAACAAACGTTTGTATTTTTATACTTGGTTCACTGGACCTATATGAAAATGTCTTGTCTGAGAGGACGTACATCAGCTATTTTATTCCCTTAGCAACAAGCTCCAAGGCAACCAATCAACAGGGGAAGTCAGGTGTTAGCCCAATTATTGGGACCCGAAAGAACAAAGACATGACAATGTCATTCCTAGAAATCTGAGCATATGTAGAAGAAATTGTCTATACTGGAGAGATGAGGCACGATCAAGCTCCTGGGAAAATTCATAAAAACAAGATCAAAGACAGAGCATAAGGCTGAAGTGAGAGATTTAGTTTACATTGAAGCTTTGATCCTACAGGCAGAAATTGGTGAAATAGAGTGAATCTTTAGAGTCAAAAAAAAGCTCGGTCCTATGGTCTTATAACTGGAACCATAGTAATATGAAACACTGTAACTAGGTGAACATCTTGGGCTTATATCTAACACACTTGACTCACTATATTGTTGGCAGCTAGAGGAACATAGGACATGAGCTACACAGAAAATAGATGGCTCTGAGGGTCTCAAGTGTAGGACAAGGACTTGATCTAAAGCCAATCGACAGAGGTTGTAGGGGTTAGGGAAAAGCTGAGATTGTATTTCTTGATGCTTCTGTGATTGACTCAAGAATTAGATGGGCCTGGGTCTACATGGAGCTGTATAGGAAAATGGAAGGGTATAAAAACATAATAGAGTTAAAATAGAAAAAAATATATTGGTTGGGTTAAAATGGTAGAGTTCAAAGAAGCTTACTTCTTAAAGATGAAAAGAGTAACAGAGTTCAAAGGGAAAAGGCATACATTCCCAAGGGCCTTTTACTTGTATCCTCCTATGCAAAACTGAAGCCCTTAGCATCTGTCTCACTTTAGTAGGAGTTTTTTATTCCATACCTGTCTATCGTGTCTCTTCTGCATTGGTTACACATCTCTTTTACCATGTTCAGAGCAGGAGTTAACTTTCTAAACTTGTTAAATGAATCTCAAAGTACTCTTTCAAGTAAATGTGTAATCTAGCAATAATTTAAAAGTTTCTTTTTTTCCAGATATGCATCAGGACTTGCCTTAGAGGGTGCTAACTTTCATTAGAACTACTCACATCAAAAGTGCAGCTTATCTCAAATAATTAGGGAAATATTCAGAATATCTTAAGCAGTTCCTCCAACTACAGGTGCCAATGCTGCAGACTTTTTGCAATTTCTGCTTATCTCAGCACCCATATAGATAATGTTGCTGCCACCCAGAGCATCAAAGATGATGAAGAGGCTGTGACAATTGTCTTAGACACAAAATTTAAGAAGGTTCCAAAAAATTCAGTAGCCAAGGTAAATAATATTAAATGCAATATTTAAAAAAATATAAATTAACATAAAATTAGTATTGAGAAAATATCAAATTGATAAGCAAAATGTCAACATTTTAAATAAAGACAGGATCAGTAATCTTTTTTTGGTGCTCTGATGAAGTAATATTTGGCCTAAGAAGTGAGAATGTACTCTAAATTATGTGTGCACTAATATATTTCCTAGCATTAAAAATATGGGATTTAGTTTATTACTTTTTATATAAATATGAGAGTGTTAATTGCTAAATTTTTCTTCCATTGAAGTTATCAAATTAATTGCTAATTATTAAGTCACTGAATGTCTGATACTTTTGATTTATCTCTCATTTATACTTATCTTTCACTTATCACTGATCTATACAGAACAGATTTTGCACACTTTTATGAGATTTTTTTTTGGCACCAAGTTTTCAGATACATTTCTCAAGATACCCTGGATACAGAACTACATGAATTTTTAAAAATGCTTTTGAGATAAAGTCAAATTTTATCCATCAATGAAAATGATATATAACTCAGCTGTTAGACATTTACCACTTCTGTATAATCCACCTGTATCTATCTGAACTCAAATTTGACCACCAAACTAGCTCCAATAACAGCTTTCTGGAGAAAGCTACACACAAAGCCTATAGCTCTAATGAATATTGTTGGAATGAGTGATGGGTTACTTTGCAGTGGGTAACATGTGATCATCAGAAGGCCTGCCTTGGATGCCCAGCATTTCCTCCTGGCTGCAGTCACCAGATCACATCTCCCACTCGACCCTTCCCGCTACAGCAGGGACTCTGCCTCTCTCCTCCTTCCCCTGCCTTCCTCCAAAGGCTGAGAAAACTACATCACTTTTCTCAAAGGAATTTCTGTGTCTGCTGCTGAAAAGATAAATGTTTCAATGTACTGTTACACATTTCTTTGAAAAAAGAAAAAGAAAACATGACTTGTAGTATTCCTTCTAGAGAATGCCTCTATTATCTGGAAGATAACAATGTAGAGCATTTACCTGTCATTCCTAGGTGTATCCCACTCTTCTGACTTTCCGGGCATCTGTAACTGCGTTTCAAACTGTCTCCTGAGCTACCCAGTTACCTATATACACGAAAGGTTTCCTTCTCCCCTCCTGGACACATCTCACAACCTAGTCAAAATATTCCCATTGCTGCTTCCTGAGTGTCAGCTTCTGTCTCTAGTGGTTCTTGCCCAGGAAGCATCATAGGGAGCCAGGAAAGTAAGCCACTTCAGCAGCCTGAGTTCTTGGCTGTCATTCCTCTCCTCTCAGGGCAAGGGTCCAAGGGTGTATATATACCGCCCATTTCAGCAACCTACTCCAGCAATTCTATATCCTACAAAGAGAGGTTTTTATTAAGGGTTTTTTTCTGTCATGGTACTAAAATTGCTCATTACTCCAACCCATTTCTCATTTTCCAACATTCTCCTCTCAACTATCGAGACATAGTTATCTTTATGGCTGTATGGTCCCTAAGATCTCCATTCTTGTTTCAACCCTGCTCTTTTCTACTTTACCTAATCCTAGGAACTCCTTTATATGTTCTCTCTTAATCTACCTCCAAATTCAACTTGAGATCCCTAGGTGCTAAGAGTTCAAAGCCTAGGTGGATAAACACAACTGCCCTATTTGGGCTAACATTTAGCCAGTTTTGCTAACTGGAAGCCAGGTGACTCGTATAGTCTCTGAAGAGACCACCTGGTATCTTCTGGGCAACATTTCAGCCAGAGGTGGATGATCTGGTTACTCCCATTTCCTGACACTCTGCTTGTGTGTGATTATATTTAGGGAGCGTAATCATGATGGTATCCATGTCAGCTCCCTAAATCTGAATTGTTGCCTTCAGTCTCAGTACAACACAACTATCCCATCTTTGTTTATTTGGGAATGCTGTCTCTTTCATTTCTTCTTCAGTAATTTATTTTACTAGCAGTGAGAAGTGGAGGAACCTTCTGGCCTTTCCTGGATCCTGCAGTTTTCTTTATTGTAAATAGCTCCTCCGGCAATGTGCCCTAACTGATGGTGATTTTTCATACTGCACTCCACGGTACTTCAATGCAAAAGTCCCTCAAGTTTTGACACATATACTAAGGTACTTCCAATGATGTGTGTTTACAAAGTTGACATATACGTCTCAGCATCTACTTGTGTTATTGAGTAACTTTTTGACTGATGTCAGACATTCTGCTGTAGAAAGGAAGGCATTTTGTGGTTTTTGAAAATGTACATAATTCTTAGTACCAGTCTCCAAAAACTTTCTATTAATCTCTGTTGCATCTATATCCCTGAGGCTTTGCACCCCACTAACATTCCAATGATGTGATCTAAACACAATACAATATTTACCTCTCAAGTCTATGGCATTGAATTTTTCCCTGTCCCATCCCTGCCAAGTCTCTAGTTCCCGGGTAATACAAGCTCTCAACCAAGAGCCCAAAGATTGGCTCTAATAAGGTTTTCAATAGCAGACCTGTTACAGCTAATAAAGCCAATTGGGTCTTTTAATTAGCTCAAGCATATATGCAATACACACTTTTTTCACTTGACACATTCCAATTTCCTAAGAATGATGTCAGCTTTGGTTTAAACAGAAATGTACAGTTAGCTCCTTCATGAAGGACTTTCTTTGATCGATTCTAATCAGCTCACAGACACTGGGTATGTGTGACTCTCCAGGTAAAACATTTAATATCCAACAATGCATTTTTCCAAAGGCTTTTCCACAGCATCCTTCTGACTTTCAGTTTCTTTCCAAAGACCAGCTCTGCTCCTCAATCGATGCTCCCCACACCATTAGCCATGCTGAATAGGCACTAGAGGCTCTATTAAGAGTGATGTTTTGGCCGGGCGCGGTGGCTCACGCCTGTAATCCCAGCACTTTGGGAGGCCGAGGCGGGCGGATCACGAGGTCAGGAGATCGAGACCATCCCGGCTAAAACGGTGAAACCCCGTCTCTACTAAAAATACAAAAAATTAGCCGGGCGTAGTGGCGGGCGCCTGTAGTCCCAGCTACTTGGGAGGCTGAGGCAGGAGAATGGCGTGAACCCGCGAGGCGGAGCTTGCAGTGAGCCGAGATCGCGCCACTGCCCTCCAGCCTGGGTGACAGAGCAAGACTCCGTCTCAAAAAAAAAAAAAAAAAAAAGAGTGATGTTTTAATCAGATAGGTATCTAGATGCCCTCCTTAAAGTATCTCAGAAAATTCTCTAAGGTCCAGATGTCAGATTCATCCCTTAACAGTACAGGTTTTCTACTTCTGCCCAATACCAACCCTGGTTTTAAAATACAGCTATTTCTTCAGTTTCCAGATAATGTACCATCACACCAAGTATATTAAGATCTTTACATTTTTTTAGTTCTACTCCAGTTTCGTAGGGACATGTCATTTATTTATTTCCTAACCCTGATCCTACTCACATGTAGATGCTGAGTGGGCAGTTTGCTACATAGTTCTAGAATTCAGGGAGGTTGAATTGAAGATGTACTCTTGGGATTTTGAGAATTAATTGAATAAAGAATATTTAGGAGCCTGAGCTCTGAGGCATTCCAAATTTGGGAGGTTTGGGAAATAAGGGAGGACTGACAAATGTAAAAAGGAAGAAGAGGTCAGTAAGAAGAAACCAGGATCATGTGAAAGCCAAGGAAATAAAATGTTGAAAAGATAAGGTAGTTACCAACTGTGCCAAATAATGCTGAAAGGCCAAATCAGAGGAAGAATGTGAATTAACCTTTGAATTTGACAATAAGAATAGACTGTCATGATTATACTGACAAGAACAATTTCAGTGGGGAGGAGCAAAGGTCTGACTGAAATAATTTCAAGAGAAGATGAGAAGAGAGAAGCTGGAGGTAATGAGCATAGACAATACTTTTGAGGAGTTTTGCTGCAAAGTGAAGAAGAAAAGGGATAGAAGGCAGTAGCATACATAGGATCAGTCTGAGATTTTTTAAGTTAATAAAAATAGTAAATTTTGTACGCTTATGAGGAGAAAATAAGAAGATACAGAGAAAATAAGAGAGTTTTTGTTGTTGTTGTTGTTGTCGTTGTTGTTTTTGAGATGGAGTCTCGCTCTGTCACCCAGGCTGGGGTGCAATGGTGCGATCTCCGATCACTGCAACCTCCGTCTCCCGAGTTCAAGCGATTCTCCTGCCTCAGTCTCCTGAGTAGCTGAGATTACAGGTGCGCACCACCACGCCTGGCAATTTTTTTTTTTTTGTATTTTTAGTAAAGATGGGGTTTCACCATGTTGATCAGAATGGTCCCGAACTCCTGACCTCATGATCTGCCCACCTCCACCTCCCAAAGTGCTGGGATTACAGGTGTGAGCCACTGCGCCTGGCCTGGAATAATGGTCTTGAAAGGGCAAGAGAGCTTGAGTGAGTACACCAGTGAAAAGGTTGACCTTTACTAGGAGCAGACAGGCCATCCATAGTAACCAGAAAAGAAGGTTCAGCATATGGACCCAGTTGTCCACATGAGTAGATTTGTTGGTGGGTTCCAGTAATATTTCTTTTCTAATAGCTTCTTAATTCTCAGTAAAATAGAAAGCAAAATCATGAGCTAAGAGTGAGTATAGGGATGGAGGTTGGAGGTTTCAGAAGAAAAGTAAAAATATTAAATAATTATCAAGGAGAGTAAAACGTTTAGCAAACTAGAAATACATGTAATCTCATGGCCAGGCAATATTAAAGGCACAGGTAAAATTAGTAATCATGAATTTAAAGTAAGATAGTTGGCTACAGATTCATACAGCTTTGATCAGTTGTGTGGATTCAGACATTCAGCGAGGGTAGAATTTGGTTAGGATTAATTAGGACTGTACTTGGCTAAAACAGGTATAAGAAAGTGAGAAAGAAACACAAAAGTTGCAGCTGTTATGCAATAGAGTGACCATAAGAATTGATGAGGGAATTTGAGCAGACTAAAAAGAAGAGCAAAGATATAAGACAGATAAGAGAAAGTATAAATGGATAGAATCAATGGATTTGAGACCATGCTAGGTACTATGTTTTCTGATTTTAGAATACAAAAGGGAATGAGATGGACCAAAAAAATGTATAGATTTTGATAGGAGAGAAAAAGATGATGTTTGAAATTAAGATTAAGAACAGGGTGCGCATATGTAACAAACCTGTACATTGTGCACATGTACTCTAGAACTTAAAGTATAATAATAAAAAAAAGAAAAGAACAGGGTGTGATTTTTTTTATAATGATAAGGTCTGAACTATGACATTAGAAAAGATGACCAAGAAAAAGTATAAAACAAGATCATTGGAGAAAGTTCACAGAACTAAGCAGCCACATCATTATACGACCATCTATGTAGATATTGAAATTACGATGAATTAGGGCAGGAGCCATGTAAGAGACAGAGTGTGTACCAAGAGCAAAATCCTTCAAGGAATCAGAGGAAATGACTTAAACATTTTTATTTATTTATTTTTTGAGATGGAGTCTCACTCTGTCTCCCAGGCTGGGGTGCAGTGGCACAATCTCGGCTCACTGCAACCTCTGCCTCACAGGTCAAAGCAATTCTGTTGCCTCAGCCTCCTGAGTAGCTGAGATTACAGGCACGTGCCACCACACCTGGCTAATTTTTTATCTTTAGTAGAGATGGGGGTTTCACCATGTTGGCCAGACTGGTCTCGAACTCCTGACCTCAGGTGATCCACCCTCCTAGGCCTTCCAAAGTGCTGGGATTACAGGTGTGAGTCACCGCACTCGGCCGACTTAAACATTTATAGAAAAACTAGTCTTTCTCTCTGTTAGTCAATCTCTAACAAAAATAGATGCCTTTTTATTATGTTCTCAATATAATGATAAAGGCAACAAACAAACATATTCAGTGCACACTAAATTGAACGTTGTTATTGTAGGCTGCTAAGCATTCATTTAACCCTTTCCCTTTATTTACTATGTGGACCCTAATTTTGTTCTGTTATCCTCTTTTGTTTGTTTGTTTTGAAATTATGTACCAAAAGGACTGTTGCCTCCAGTCCCCATCTCCAAATGGTGCCTGATTGTATTAAGGATAATCACATTCCCCTTACCAATGATTGGTTAAGGAATGACATGTAATCTAATTTGTGCCAATGAAACACCACAAGGATTTTTCCAGAGCCTCTGAGTAGTTTCTTTCCAGAACTTTAAAAAATTCTTCCTGAAAGGGCTTCCAAAAGGGACAATATCTTCCATCTTCCAGTTGTTATCATGTATGGATGTGATGCTTGTGCTTCTTGCCACCAGTATGAAGATAAAGCAAAAGCAAGAAAAGGGAAAGATATCCAAATATTTCAGATTGATTGAGTCTACCTTACAACCAGTCCTATTGAGGAATTTCATTTATATGAGCCAATAAATGTCCTTATTGTTTAAGGATAAGCCCTTTTTTTTCTTTTTCTTTTTTCTTCTTTTTTTTTTTTTTTTTTTTTTTTTTTTTTGAGATGGAGTCTTGCTCTGTCACCCAGGTTGGAGTGTAGTGGTGCTATTTCAGCTCACTGCAACCTCTGCCTCCCAAGTTTAAGTGATTCTCCTGCCTCAGCCTCCTGAGTAGCTGGGATTATAGGCACCCACCACCATACCCAGCAAATTTTTCTATTTTTAGTAGAGACGGGGTTTCACCATGTTGGCCAGGCTGGTCTTGAACTCCTGGATCCACCTGCCTTGGCTTCCCAAAGTGGCAGGATTACAGGTGTGAGCCCCAACGCCAGGAAAGGATAACCCTTTTGATGGGAGTTATTTCTTACTTAAATAAAGTAGGCTACTCAATACATATGCAAAGAAAATTATAAATGTCGGTGAAATTGTTTGCATCAGAGGCATGGAAATGTAAATAAAAACACTGAGAAATCTCCACTTCACAGAGTAGGTCAGACTTTCATGGATATATTAAATTGTTGATCATTTTGATTCTCCAGAACATCAGTAAGTGTTATATATGCCTTACTTTTAGGGAAGTAAAAAGTATTCTTTTTTATAAATTAAATTAAGAAAATGAAATTGTCCAATATGTGAAAAAACAATAATTTTAAAAATCCTGAACTGTTGATAATGGAAATATACTGAGTGAAAGCATGAGTAAATGAAAGTTAGTGCTGGTGATCAAAAAGGTATCAGAGAATATGTAAGTATTTAACACATACCTAATAGTCTCATAAAAAAGAAAGAAGTTCTAAGACTAAAAAAAAAAAAAAAAAAAAACCCAGGACCAGACAGATTCACAGCCAAATTCTACCAGAAGTACAAAGGAGGAGCTGGTACCATTCCTTCTGAAACTATTCCAAACAATTGAAAAGGAGGGACTTCTCCCTAACTCATTTTATGAAGCCAGCATCATCCTAATATCAAAACTGGGAAGAGACACAATAAAAAAAGAAAACTTCAGTCCAATATCCCTGACGAACATCGATGCAAAAATCGTCAATGAAATACTGGCAAACCGAATCCAGCAGCATATCAAAAAACTTATCCACCGTGATCGAGTTGGGCTCATCCTGGGATGCAAGGCTAGTTCAACATATGCAAATCAATAAATGTAATCCATCACATAAACATAACCAAAGACAAAAACCACATTATTATCTCAATAGACACAGAAAAGGCCTCCAATAAAATTCAACATCCCTTCATGTTAAAAACTCTCAATAAACTAAGTATTGATGAAACATATCTCAAAATAAAAAGAGCTGTTTATGACAAACCCACAACCAATATCATATTGAATGGACAAAAGCTGGAAGCATTCACTTTGAAAACTGGTCCAAGACAATGATGCCCTCTCTCACCACTCCTTTTCAACGTAGTATTGGAAGTTCTAGCCGGGGCAATCAGGCAAGAGAAAGAAATAAAGGATATTCAAATAGGAAGAGAGGAAGTCAAATTGTCTCTGTCTGCAGATGACATGATTTATATTTAGAAAACCCCATCATCTCAGCCCAAAAACTCTTTAAACTGATAAGCAACTTCAGCAAAGTCTTAGCATATAAAATCAATGTGCATAAATCACAAGCATTCCTTTACACCAACAAAAGACAAGCAGAGAGCCGAATCATGAATGAACTCCCATTCACAATTGCTACAAAGAGAATAAAATACCCAGGAATACGTCTAAAAAGTGATGTGAAGGACCTCTTCAAGGAGAACTACAAACCACTGCTCAAGGAAATAAGAGAGGACACAAACAAATGGAAAAACATTCCATCCTCATGGATAGAAAGAATCAATATCATGAAAATGGCCACACTGCTCAAAGTAATTTATAGATTCAATGTTATTCCCATCAAACTACCATTGATATTCTTCACAGAATTAGAAAAAAATACTCTAAATTTGACATGGAATCAAAGAAGATCCCATATAGCCAAGGCAACCCTAAGGAAAAGAACAAAGCTGGAGCCATCACACTACCTGACTTCAAACTACACTACAAGGCTACAGTAACCAAAACAGCATGGTACTGGTACCAAAACAGACATATAGACCAATGGAACAGAACAGAGACCTCAGAAGTAACACCACACATCTAAAACCATCTGATCTTTGACAAACTTGACAAAAACAAGCAACAGAGAAAGGATCTCCTATTTAATAAATGGTGCCTGGAAAACTGGCTAACCATATGCAGAAAACTGAAACTGCACCCATTCCTTAAATCTCATAAAGAAATTAACTCAAGATGGATTTAAAGACTTAAATTTAAAACCAAAAACCATTAAAACCCTAGAAGAAAACCTAGGCAATACCATTCAGGACATAGGCATGGGCAAAGACTTCTTCATGACAAGAACACCAAAAGCAATTGCAACAAAAGGCCAAAATTGACAAATGAGATCTAATTAAGGAGCTTCTGCACAGCAAAATAAACTATCATCAGAGTGAACAGGCAACCTACAGAATAGGAAAAAAATTTGCAATCTACCCATCTGACAAAGGTCTAATATCCAAAATTTACAAGGAACTTCAAAAAATTTACAAGAAAAAAACAAACAACCCCATCAAAAAGTGGGCAAAGGATATGAACAGACACTTCTCAAAAAAATAAATTTATGGGTCCAACAAGCATATGAAGAAAAGCTCAATATCACTGTTCATCAGAGAAATGCAAATCAAAACCATAACAAAATACCATCCCGCACCAGTCAGAATGGCAATCATTTAAAAAGTCAAGAAACAATAGATGCTGGTGAGGATGTGGAGAAATAGGAATGCTTTTACGCTATTGGTGGGAATTTAAATTAGTTCAACAATTGTGGAAGACAGTATGGCAATTCCTCAAGGATCTAGAACCAGAAATACCATTTGACCCAGAAATCCCATTACTGGGTATATACCCAAAGGAATATAAATCATTTTATTATAAAGATATATGCATATGTATGTTTATTGTAACACTATAATAACAAATACATGGAACCAACCCAAATGTCCATCAATGATAGACTGGGTAAAGAAAATGTAGTACATATACACCATGGAGTACTATGCAGCCATAAAAATGAATGAGATCGTGTCCTTTGCAGGGACATGGATGAAGCTGGGAACCACCATCCTCAGCAAACTAACACAGGAATAGACAACCAAACACTACATGTTCTCACTCATAAGTGGGGTTAGGGGGCAAGAGGAGGGAACTTAGGGAACAACAGGTACAGCAAACCACCATGGTACATGTATACCCATGTAAAAACCTGCAAGCTCTGCACATGTATCCTGTGTTTTTTTTTTAGAAGAAATAAACAAAAACAAAAATTATAAAATAAATAAATAAATCCATCCATCCATCCATCCATACATACATAAAAAATGCATTCTACCAATATCTTTTTAAAAAAGCATTAGAAACTAAACTGCATTTGTATTTAAAATGCATACAATGTCAATATATTTTCCCTCAAGCATATAAATTAATTGTAAAAATTAGAAAAGTTAAAATTAATTTTTAATGGTTTCAATTTATTTTTCTTGCACAATATTCAAAATTATCTATTAGAATTAACAGGCAAAAGGAAGAATAGGTAACTAATAAAAAACATTTAAATAAAAACAAATATAGGAAATCAATTGAAAATAGTTTTGGCCATGTAGCTGTCAAAGTGTCAAGAAAAACTGGAGACACAATTTATAAGAATTTGACTATTTTGGCATTACCTAATCAACTATTAAAATGAGGTAGTAAAATAGCCATGCTGAATAGAAAACTGAACAGCAACAATAGAGCTAGAGTACACAACATCTACTAAGATGTATACAAAGGACAAATTAATCTTGGGAAATAGAACACATTAATTTATAATTAAGGAAACATACAAATTACTAAATTAATATTCTCGATTATTCTCTGCAAGTGCAGTGAGAAGATTAACCATTCCTACCTGTGCCATGTGATTTGCAGTGTTCCTCCCTACAGGTGTCAAGTATTCCAGTAAAATATGAAGTTAAGTTTTCTGCAGAAGCTTTAGATGTCACTGCTAGGCTTTTCATCTTTTCTTTTCGCTTTTTCTCAAGGACAGTGTGTCTATGTAAGGGGCTTATCAGTCAGCCTGGATTCTAGAATGAAAACAAACTGTAAAATAAAGTTAAATATAACCCACAACAGACACACAAATTAGAAATAAGTCCCCTTTTCTTTTCCTGTAAGCTGAAGAGATTTTTGATTGTTTGTTATTGCAGCATAACCTAGTAAAGACTGACTAACACAAAGCATTCAAACAACATATATACACATGTAATCTAAACAAGACGCTTTAGCTAACAAGATGTTTTGCTTGTTTTAGCTAATCTTAAGAAAATCCACCTAAGAGTCAAAAAAAATGTATAAAAGAGCTGAAATTATATATTTATGTGTATGAAGACATAGATCTTAGCACATTGAAGATAAAATTAGAGTCTTGTTAATAGTCAAAAATAACAATTGATTTCCTCTCCTTCTACCTGCTTTTCATCTTCTTGATCCTCATACACAAATTCCCTCCAGGCATTTCCAGAAATACCTCTTGGATATTTCAAGGGAGATGCAAGATTAGTCTTCTTGATTTTTCTGCAACAATTACTAGTCTCTTCCTTTCTGGCTCAGCTTGCTGCACAGATGTCTTCTGTATCTGCCAACATAAGAAAGATTATTTCCATAGCTAGTGTACACCAGGGGCATTCTCAATGCTGTTGGTATCTTTTGGAGTCTATTCTGAGGCTTCTGATGCCAGATATCCAGGGAGCTGATGTCTGCAAGAACAGCATGGTCTATGTCCCTGCTAAAGTGGTGATTGCTAACTAAACTTCAATCACCAATTCTGTTTTGCCTTGGTGTTTCGGGTCCCTCAGAAATTTTAGTAATACCTTTCATTTGCTTTCTCTCCCTCTCTCTCTCTGGTATCTTTTGCTTTCTTGTTAAAGAAAACAGAGATGACTCTAGGGTACTGATCCGGATGAGATTTTAAAAGACTAACTCTATTCTGTATTCAAAGTGGTCCCTTCTCTCCCTTGCTAGTCAGATGCCTTTGAAACCAGCATCTGTAACTTCACTCTAGGGCAAATTTTTTTCCCAGATTGGTTCACAGTCTCTTGTATATCTAGATCCCTGCCCAACACCCCCAAATTGTTCAGAAATGTATTTAACAGTCATGTATGGAAGGCACACTTCAATACATGACTATTAAGTATATGCCTAGAGATGTATTAAACAGTCATGTGTTGAAGGCACACTCCGTATGGGGCATGATGATAGGTACATACTGGAGATGGAATGCTAAATGAAAACTCATTAGCAAACTCAACCTTGGTCCTCAAGAAGCTTGCAGTCTATTAGTAAAACTGAAAAGTAAATAGAAAATTGTAGTAGGGCTAATTCCAATGTACTACCCAGTGAGTGAGAGTAAACTAGTGGTCAGGAAAGACTCTCCTAGAAAAAAGCAAGTTTGATAACAAAACCAGGGCATTAGAGAAATTACACCATCAGATAAGAGGAAGAATGGCAGTAGAGGTAGGGGAGCAGTATTTTTAAAGGCCTAGAACTGAGACAAAGTGTGATCAGTTTGGAGAACTGAAAGTCAGACAACATAGATGGGTCCATGACCAGCACACATGTAATGTGGGCAGGACAGCGTCACTGAATTCACCACGCCTGGTATTTACCTAACACATAGTAATTATTCAAGATCGTGAGGGTCCTTGTAAGGTACTTTAAGTATTTTGGATCTGACAGCAATTGATAATCATTTAAAGGTTTTATTTATTTATTTTTGAGATGGAGTTTCACTCTTGTTGCCCAGGGTGGAGTGCAATGGTGCAATCTCGGCTCACTGCAACCTCTGCCTCCTGGGTTCAAGCCATTCTCCTGCCTCAGCCTCCCGAGTAGCTAGGATTACAGGCATGTGCCACCATGTCTGGCTAATTTTGTATTTTTAGTAGAGACGGGGTTTTACCCTGTTGGCCAGGTTGGTCTCAAACTCCAGACCTCAGTTGATCCACCCGCCTCAACCTCCCAAAGTGTTAGGATTACAGGCATGACTCACCACTCCTGGCCCCATTTACAAGTTTTAATAAGAGTAAAGAAGGACATGATTACATTTGTACTTTACCAAAGTGTTAGAATGGTTTATATTGATGACTAAGAGTGAAAAAGGAATTCTACTTAGTAGGTTATTGCAGTCATTAGCTAATATTAGTAATAACCAATGCTTATTTCATATATACTATGAGCTTGGCCCTATTCTAAATGTTTTACTTGCATTATCTCATTTAATCTTGTGGAAAACTCAGTGAAGTAAATAACATTATTTTATACATTTTACAAAGGAAGAAGCTCAATCATAGACAGTTTAAGCAACCTGCTCAAGCTCAAGATCACACAGCTAGTAAGTAGGTAAGTAGTAGATCCAGGATTCAAAACTAGGTAGTCTTACTCCAAATCCCACATTCTTTTTTTTTTTTTTTTTCTTAAGACAGAGTCTTGCTCTGTCACCCAGGCTGGAGTGTACTGGGGCAATCTCGGCTCATTGCAACTTCACCTCCCTGGTTCAAGCTATTATCCTGCTTCAGCCTCCTGAGTAGCTGGGATTGCAGGAACATACCACCATGCCCAGCTAATTTTTGTATTTTTACTTGAGATGGGCTTTCACCATATTGACCAGGCTGGTCTCAAACTCCTGACTTCAAGTGATCTGCCCACTTAGGCCTCCCAAAGTGCTGGGATTACAGGGGTGAGCCACTGTGCCTGGCCTCAAATCCCACATTCTTAAACTTTTGTATATTCTACATTACAAGAAAGATGATATTGATTTATTACAAAAATAAAATTTTAGAAGTATGGTATTGGTGGAGAAAATTGGCCCAGAAAGAGAGATACTAAGGGAAAATTAACAAGAGCAGAGAACAGGATTAGATGAGTGGGATGTGAGTAAGAAAGACAGAATCAAGAACAAAGTCAAAGTTTCCAGCTTGAGCAAATGAGGAAGCATAAAGAAAGCATATTGAGGTTGGAAAGAAATTGGGATAAGAAGCTAAGTTGTAAGTACTTGTGAAATATGAAATGGAGGTGTTGAACAGGTGGATATAACTCTAGGAAGGAGATTTAGATTTAGGTCATCAACTTTGATTGTCATTGAAACCCTGTTTGGTGCATTCATTCAAGGACTGTATACAGTGAAAGAAGAAGAAAAAGAATGAAATCCTGATGTACATGAAAATTGAAGAGAGATCAGAAGTTCCCATGAAAGAAACAGATAAGAGTTAATCCAGGAGAGTGTGATTTCACAGAAGCCAGAGGGATTGAGTGTTTCAAGAAAGAAGATGTAGCTGACAGTGTCAAATACTGCAGAGATGTCAACTAAAGTAGTCTGAATATATCCAGGGACTTTAAAAGAAATAAGGTAATTTAGGACTGTGAAAAAATAGGAGAGAATCTTCCTGATAATGAGAAATTTTTAACACATATAAGATGCTCCAAGAAAGGTTGACTATTTTTTAATGCAAAGAAAAGATGAGTCTAGTTTAAGAACAGATATTGAACTTATATAACTTTTTGTTTTCAAGCTTCAGACATCAACTTCAGCTGCCTTAAAAACGTAGTGGAATTTTTTTGTACAAGCCAGAAGGGTCTTGATATAATCCAGACACAAATGCAGCCAGACTCCTATGAGAGAGTGGCAGGCAGCCTGCAAATGGCCCCAAATGATGCCTGTTTCTCAGGATTTGTGCCCTTTTAAATTCTCTTCTCTTGGGTGCAGGCTGACCTAGTGACTCATTTCTAATGAATAAAATATGACAAAAGTGAAAAAATGTCACTCCCAATTATTAGGTTACAAAAATACTGTGACATTTGCCTTGTTCAGTTTCTCCCCTAACACCTCTCTTTCAGTTTTTGCTCAGGGGAAGCCAGCTACCGTGTTACAAATAGCCATAATTTTGGCGTGCGTATGAGTAGACAATTTTTCTCTTTAGTTTTGTTGATCTAAAGATTTACAGATGATAGGAACTCTAAGGAGCTATACTTAAGAAACCGTATCTAAGAATCTTCATCTGCACCTGCACCTGATTTATACAAAGAGCTTCTGGGCTTTGAGCTGATGTTGTAATAGGATGAGACTTTTGAGGACCTTAGGAGGGGCTGAGTGTCCTTTGAATATGATAGGGTCATGAATCATTGGTGGCTAGAGGCCAGGCTATAGTAGCAGCCACTAGAATAGCACTTAATGATCTTTATCTCCTGGTATTCATGCCCTTGGGCAATCCCTTCTTCATGAGTGTGGGCTGGCCCTAGTAACTCTTTTCTAATGAATAAAATACAGCAAAAGTGAGGGGATATAAATTCCCAAATTAGGTTACAAAAAGCTTGTGACTTTTGCTTTATTCACTCTCTCTCACTCTTCCTCTCTCCCTCCAAGCCCTAGCTCGTGGAAAAGTAGCTCTGAAGAAAGCAAGTAGCCCTGTAGAGAAGTCCGTGTGGCACGGAAATGATGCTTCAGACCAACAACCTTAAGAGAAGACCTTAAGCCTGACAACAGCTATATGTGAGTGACCCTACAAGTGGACATTCTGCAAATCAAGTTTTGAGATGACTACAACCCCAGCCAATCCCTTGATTGCAGCTTTGTGAGAGACCCTGGGAGACAGGTAGTTAAGTTCTATATGGATTTTGGATCCACAAACACTATAAAATTGTAAGTGTTACTGTATTAAGTTGCTGCATTCTGGAGTAATTTCTTACATTACAATAGATATCTAATACACAGAAATGAGAACCAGGGAGCATAACTGTCTCAACATCTCTACCTCTCTATTCACTGCTTCTCTGTATCTTTTTCTCTCTCTGTGCACATCATGGTAGAAAACACAGATGTCCTTGGGGCCTAAATTCCTGGGGAACTAACTGGCCACATTTGTATTTGCTGTCACTTCTAGAAATATCAAGTATGGTCAACAGGGTAGGATTACCTCCACCATAGCCACTATTGATCATGGGTGAGGAGTGGTTCAGGTAAATGAGGTCCTAAAAATATAAGCACACATCACTTAAGCATAGACACTAAAGAAGGTTCAATTTGGAGTCTTTTAAAAGCCAGTGTTTACAATTTATTCTCAAATATATATTATGTTAAAATTTATGTATTTTCCCTAAAAACTTTTATTATGAATTTTAAGTCGTGTTAGATCATTCAACTATGTGGGTTTTTTAATTGCTTTTTACATGCCTGGGGAAATTCTTTTTGGAAGTCAGAAATTATTGTCACTTTCTAAAATATTTAATACAAATGAATACCAATCACTCCTGATCTGAGTTTCAGAGTCAAACATTCCCTCAGTAGTTTATGCAGAAATAATAATAAAATTCAGGGAGAAATATGGCCTTCTCCATCCCACAAGTAAGGGATTTGAAAGCATTCCTTTGAACAACTCAAAGTATTAATTGATACACTAATGTTCCCATTAAACCATTTATTTATAATTATTTTAATAACACAAAGAACAATGAAGACTTGTTACAGAATAAAATTTACATATATGTCAATAGTTGGATTTAAAAAGATAAAAGGTATCCAGTAGGCTAATTTTAAACTTGGTCCTGTTAAAGTATTAAGAGTTCAAGGTACTAAATTAAAACCCAAATAATTGGTAACATAAAAATATGGGTGAAGGCAGAAAAGGTTAATGTTTACTGTATCAGTCTGTTTTCATGCTGCTAATAAAGATATACCCAAGACTGGGTAATTTATACAGGAAAAAGTTTTAATGGACTTACACTTCCACAGGACCTCAGCCTCACAATCATGGCGGAAGGCAAGGAGAAGCAAGTTACATCTTATGTGGATGGCAGCAGGCAAAAGAAGAGAACTTGTGCGGGGAAACTCCCCCTTATAAAACCATCAGATCTCATAAGACTTATTCACCATCACAAGAACAGTGTGGGAAAGATCCACCCCCATGATTCAATAACCTTCCACACAGTCCCTCCCACAGCAGACGGGAATTCAAGATGAGATTTGGGTGGAGACACAGCCAAACCATATCAATTTGATTGAGGTATAATCTTGCTTCTAAAAGAATTTGATATGGGGTAAAATAAAAACTCAGGTACAATAAAATTAAATATGTGTAATTATAAAAAAGGAATAGAAAAGCAATAGACAATTAGAAAAATCAAAATGTTAAAAATATTTTTTAATATTAAGCTGAATTGCTTTTATTCTTTCATGTAGTATACATTTATTTACTCCTTTACTCCTCAGATATACATTAAATCCTCTTTTATGCCAGGCCTTCTGATAAATTCTGAATAAGACAGATGCTATTCCTGCTTTGTTGGAGTATTCAGAAAAGTTTTTTCTTAAAACAAATATCTAGATTCTGAAAATATGCCAGCCTGAAGTGAAAGAAGAAAAATGAAATTCTAAGCAATACATTTTGTAAATGTTGAAACATGTCTGGGAATCAAGGGTACTTTTCTCTTGCTATATCATTGATTACAAGATTTCCAGAACACAGTAGATTAGAGAATGTGAATACTATGACTATCGTCCTGTTTTTAGGAATTAAATATTCAGGAAATGATGCTGCTTATATTTAGACACCTTAGGGATTTTCCAGTGTTTGATAAACTAATTGAGCTGACTGAGTCCTATTTAAAGAGAGCAGAGAAAGCATAATAAGCAACCTCACATTCACAAACAGATTTTTAACCCAGTCTTTACTTAAAAGATTTTGTATTTGTTTTTAATATAGTAATGTGTTGACTGTTTAAAAAATTTAACTGAAGAAGGATGCACAAAAAGGAAATGAAATGGGATTTGGGTGGTTAGATTTTGTGTGTGTGTGTGTGCATGATAAGTTGTGCTACTGTGCTTCCTCCCTACTGGGGAGTCCATATTTTAAGAATTGTGAAAAACAATGTGAACAGAGAAGGCCTATACTTTTTCTGTATGAGTTAAGCAAGCAACTGAAAAGCAAAGATGTAAGGCATGAATAAGGCATCTCAGTCACCAACACTACATCTTGGTGGAGGATATTAGTCTTAAATGCTTGTGCCATTCACGTATTTATTTACATATTTATTTATTCAACACACAGTTATTGAGCACTTAGTAAATGTCAGGTACTAAAGGTATGGAGATATAGTGATGGCAAGGCAAAGCCCCTATCCTCATAGAGTTTACAGTCTAGTGAAACAGACACACATGCCTCTGCACACGTGCACACACACATGCACACATGCACACACACAGAGTAACTTATGTTCAGTTTGTGACAACTGCTTTGAAGAAAAACAAAGCAAGATAAGAGGAGAGATAGTAAAGGTGATGGGCATTATAGAGACGGTTATAATGAAAGACCTTTCTGAGGAGATGGTCTTTGAAAATAATCTTCATGAAGTGAAGCTGGGGGAAAGAATATTTATGCAAACATTGGGAAGAAAAGCAATTTAGGAAGATAGAGCAGCCTGTTACAGATTATAAAAACAGGCCCGGCATAATCCCAAAATGTCAAGAAAGAGGTGTGCAGAAAACGGAGAAAGGCGATCAAAGAAGGAAGATATAACACAATATACACAGATATGATGCAGTTAACCTACATTTTCTAGGCCATTGAAAGGGCTTCATATTTTATTGCTCATGCAATGAAAAGCCATTGAGCATGATATGGCCATCTCTATTATTATCTAGTGGCAAAATTTCCAATTCAACTTTCCAAAAATCAAACTCATTATCCATCCCATACTTTGTTTCCCTAAAAAGTCTTTATGTTAAGATTCCTCTATGACATTTAAAAATCAAGATTCTATCATTCAAATACATATACAATATTATGGTCACTATCAATTCCTTCTTCTTCCTTGCCTCCCCCCATAATGTGTACATAAAACTAAACTAGAAATCTAAGCATCTGGATTCTAGCCTTTCCTGAGTTACCTACCTACTCAGTGACATTAACAGGTCACCAAAACTCTCTGAATATCTGTTTTCCCAGCTTTAAGATAAAAATAGTAGATAGCCACTGTCAGGATTATTGTTTATGGGGTGTTTATTATATGCCAGGTTCCTCACAAAAGACCAATTTACAGATAATAAAACTGAAGGACTAATAGGCAAATTAATTTTCCTTGAATTAGGCATCTAGTAAAAGGTATTGGGGATTCAAAGGCAGTTTTCTTACTGCAAAGGTGAGGCATTTAGTTAAGTTTACTATCCTTCATTTAAAGTGCAGCTGTGTATGAGAGTGTGCTTTGAAATAAAAATCAAAGTATTATTTTTTTCATCCAGTATTTGACATATTTTATAGTTCTTATTTCAGCACTTACTCTAACACTTATTCTGATTCATGCTCTGTCCAGAGGATAAAAATATAGGAGACTCCAATCTTGCCCTCAAGTAGTGTCCCATTTAAAAAAAAATCTTTTCAATATTGTTCAAGAGCCTTACTTCAGTGAGAGATGAAGCAGAGCAAAAAGGTTGTATATATAAATTGACATGTGCAAGAAGTCTTGAAGGATAGCATTTAACACAAAAGTTCCAACTTGGTCTTACCATTTCCCTAACCATCACACTGGTTCAAGTCCTTGTTGCCTCAAACATTAAAAGCGGAAGAAATCTTAGTGTTATGAACTGAATGTTTGTGTCCCCCAAATTTCATATGTTGGAACCTAATCTCCAATATGAAGGTATTTGGAAGGGGAGCTTTTGGAAGGCAATTAGGCCAGGAGGGTGGAGCTCTCATAAACAGAATTAGTCCTCTTATAAAAAGAGGAAGAGGCGCAAGATTTCTTTCTTCTCTCTCCACACAGGCAACAAGGAAGACCATGTGAGGATATAGAGGACATAAGTTGGCAAAGGCCCCTCACAAAGAACCCAACTCTTCTGGCACCCTTATCTCAGACTGCTAGTCTCTAGAAATAGAAGTTTGTTTTTTAAGACATCAGTCTATGGTATTCTTTTGTAGCAGTACAATAGAAGACACTTAAGAATCAACACTTTAAGACCAATTAGTGTCCACCTGCTGGTGCCACACTGCACATGCCAATGTTTATATTCATTTTATTTTTAGCATTGTCATTTTTCTCTCTATTCTGGCTTATTCTTTAAACGTCTTTATTACTGTCCGTATTTTTCTATTGGTAGCATTGATTTAGCAGTTTCCTGTGCCTATTTTTTGAATGATTAATTTTATATGTTTTGCCCTTTTAGTTTTTTTCTTAGTTCTCTTAACTCCTTTTTCACTTCATTTAGAGTTTTATTTCTTGTTTCATATAATCCATTTGAGAGTGTAAACCACTTGCAATCTATCTTAACTGCCCCATGCAAAATTGCACCTCTTACTCTCCACTTATTCTGTTTTATTTCTCTTCTTAGCACTTTTCTAAGCCAAACTTATTCTATTTTTATTTTCTAACTTCCCAATTTGTATTTATCTGTTTTTCTTCTTTCATTGCTGTCATCCCAGTCACTGGTACATGCTTATCACAAATAGGAAGCTCAGTATTTGTTGAATTCAATGAATCTCATTTTCAAAAATGTCTAGAAGTATATGTTTTCCTAATGTGAGCTCTATGCTTTTCTTTTGCAGGCTGGTGTTGCTTTCCTTCTTTGTGTTGCAGTATTTTTTAATAGATTCAATGTTGGGGTGACTTTGTCTCTACTTACATCTCTCTGAAAGTGTGCAAATTAATCAGCAACTGGTATTTACTTGCGAAAGAGTAGGTATATTCCATTTATATCTATAATCTGTTACACCTGAGTATAAATTTTCTGTTCTCTTTCAAACTTGAGTTGGAGAGCTGGCTGTTAAGGTTTCACCTATCCAGTAACCTGAAGGAGATAAAGAAGAAACTAAGACCACCAGCAGCCACAGTTATGGAATTTTATATCTGCATATTCTTTGTCTCTACGTTTGTTAAAATTCTATCTGAAAGTTATGTTTAACCTACTGAATTGGGAGCATTTACCACCTAATTAAGGTTTCTAATAAATTTGATTTCCCACCTTGGGACAAACTCCCAATTTCAATAAAAAGTTTATTTTGAAAAGTGTGGATTCTATTAATTTCATGTGACTACACATCTTGTCCTGGCAGTTCCCTGCTGTTGATGGCCTTTAGTTGTAAAAATGGCTTTGGAAGGCCGGGCGTGGTGGCTCATGGCTGTAATCCCAGCACTGTGGGAGGCCAAGGTGGGCGGATTATGAGGTCAGGAGTTCGAGACCAGCCTGGCCAATATGGTGAAACCCCATCTCTACTAAAAGTACAAAAATTAGCCGGGTGTGGTGGTGTGTGGCTGTAATCCCAGCTACTCAGGAGACTGAGGCAGGAAAATCACTTGAACCCAGGAGGCGGAGGTTGCAGTGAGCCATCACGCCACTGCACTCCAGCCACGGTGACAGAGTGAGACTACATCTCAAAAAAAAAAAAAAAAAAAAAAAAGAAACATGACTTTGCAATATTCTTTTTCACTCTTCTGCTTTGTGCTTTTATAGTCAGTTGAATGGTAGCATTCAATAGATATGTCCACAAACCTGGGAATGTGATCTTATTTGGAAAGTAGGGGAGGGCTTTTGCAAATGTAATTCAGTTAAGGATACTTAAATGAGAAAAGTTTGGATTATCTGGGTGGGCCCTAAATTCAATGATAAATGTCTTGGCAAGGATATACAGAGGAGAGACACACAGAGAGAAAGAGATGAGGCCATGTGGAGAAGGAATCGAAGGTTGGAGTTAGATAGAAGCCCAAGGAAACTAATACAGCTCTTTATGCTAGATATTGTCCTTCCAGGTAAGGTAGAAATTCTATTCTTTATTTGAATACACTCTGCAATTATTAGAGAGTGAAGACAGAAAAAAATTAATGGAAAGCTCTGGTCACATATATTCTCCAGAAATTCTCTCATTAAAATGTCAGTATGACATTAATAATGCTCTGAGGACGGTAGCTTCCAAATGGAATATAACCTTCTTTCTGTTGTTGTCCATGCCCCTCACCCAGTCATTCCTTAATTTGCAGAAGCAGTAGAGCACTCTTGAAAAGTATGTTTTATGTGTTGTCTGTGTAGGCAGTGGTGTTTGTGGAAGTCCAAACTATTTCTTGGATTTTACCTTCTTTTTGCTGCAAATTATAGTGTGTTTGGCAGGTAGTCCAAGCAATATAAATGGAAGAAAAAAATCATTCTCTGATTTTGAAGCTAATTTTTTTTTTGGCATTCAAAACTTTCAGTTGTGTTTTTGAAAGGGAGCAATTTATAAATCTGCACTTTACATCCTATCTTTTCTGCAGTACTTCATTTTGCTCTTGAAAACTAAGAAGATAGTTGGTATATTGGCTAATTGCTCTCCTCATTGTCAATTTTGATCAACACTTATATGTGTATTGTGTATGTATTATTAAAAATAAATATAAGAACCATAAATATAAATTTCTGGTTTTATAAAGTATCTGCTCAGCTAACAGCAATTCTAATAGCATAAACTTTAATGGTTCATTGATTATTGTATATGCTTATGATCAGAGTATCTTCCTGCCTCCCACATCTTCATGGAAGAAATCTCAGGCTATTCTGCATTCCAAAGAGTTCATGTGTTTGTAGAATGTTGAGGGTAATACCACTGACTGCAAGATCTACCCCCTTCATGTGCCAACTCATTGATTTCCTCCAAAATATATATTCTACTCAACCACAGAGTACAATCTCTATCAGAGAAGTATGAAAATTATGAGACATAACTAAAAACATATGATCAAAATATTCCTTTAACATTTCATATATTGTATTTCTGAAATACATTCACTTCCATACAGCATAAATTCTCTAAACCAATGCAAATAAATAAAAACGCTATGGGGAAGGTTTTTCCAAAAAAGTCTCTTGGGACGTGAAATAAACCCTAGTCTGTTCTGTTTTAACCTCCTCATTAATGACTTGGAAAAGGGTGGGAATCAACAGCACATTAATTAAATTCACAGATGTTTCTTAATTCAAAGGTATAGCACATACAGCAAAGGACAGAGACTCTAAGGTTAAAAATAGGAGCACAGAAAAAAATGTATAAATATACAAGCAGGAAAATAATCTAAAAATCCAATTCCATGGGTTGAAGATACTTGACATGGTGTTTATAGTTCAATGACTCTCAGGTTGAAAATGAAAGTACATAATATTATTATACTATGATCAATATTTTTAATAGAAGAAGTTTAATTGTTTCACTCTTTATAGACATATATAAACATACATTTTCATGTTTATATACATATATATAGTTCCAAATCCTATATACAAATATATAAATTCTATATATAAATCCTATTTTGGAACTTCTCTGAGTATTTATTATTATTATTATACTTTAAGTTTTGGGACACATGTGCAGAATGTGCAGGTTTGTTACATAGGTATACACATGCCATGGTGGTTTGCTGCACCCATCAACCCGTCATCTACATTAGGTATTTCTCCTAATGCTATCCCTCCCCCAGGCCCCACCCCCCAACAGGCCCCGGTATGTGATGCCCACCCCCACCTGTGTCCATGTATTCTCATTATTCAGCTCCCACTTATGAGAACAGGTGGTGTTTGGTTTTCTGTTCTTGTGTTAGTTTGCTGAGAATGATGGTTTCCAGCTTCATCCACATCCCTGGGGTTTCTGCAGAGAGATTCGCTGTTAGTCTGATTGGCTTCCCTTTGTGGGTAACCCGACCTTTTTCTCTGGCTGCGCTTAACATTTTTTCCTTCATTTCAACCTTGGTGAATCTGACGATTATGTGTCTTGGGGTTGCTTTTCTCAAGGAGTATCTTTGAGGTGTTCTCTGTATTTCCTGAATTTGAATGTTGGCCTGTCTTGCTAGGTTGGGGAAGTTCTCCTGGATAATATCCTGAAGAGTGTTTTCCAACTTGGTTCCATTCTCCCCATCACTTTCAAGTACACCAATCAAATATAGATTTGGTCTTTTCTCATAGTCCCATGTTTCTTGGAGGCTTTGTTCATTCCTTTTCATTCTTTTTTCTCTAATCTTGTCTTCTCGCTTTATTTCATTAAGTTGATCTTCAATCTCTGATATCCTTTCTTCCACTTGATCAATTCAGCTACTGATACTTGTGCATGCTTCCCGAAGTTCTTGTGCTGTGTTTTCCAGCTCCATCAGGTCATTTATGTTCTGCTTTAAACTGGTTATACTAGTTAGCAATTCGTCTAACCTTTTTTCAAGGTTCTTAGCTTCCTTGCATTGCGTTAGAACATCCTCCTTTAGCTTGGAGGAGTTTGATATTACCCACCTTCTGAAGCCTACTTCTGTCAATTTGTCAAACTCATTCTCCATCCAGTTTTGTTCCCTTGCTGGCGAGGAGCTGTGATCCTTTGGAAGAGAAGAGGCATTCTGGTTTTGGAATGTTCAGCCTTTTTGCACTGGTTTTTCCTCATCTTCGTGGATTTATCTATCTTTGGTCTTTGATGTTGGTGACCTTTGGATGGGGTTTTTGTGTGGACATCCTTTTTGTTGATGTTGATGCTATTCCTGCTTGTTAATTTTTCTTCTAACAGTCAGGTCCTTCTGCTACAGATCTGCTGGAGTTTGCTGGAGGTCCACTCCAGATCCTGTTTACCTGGGTATCACCAGTGGAGGATGCAGAACAGCAAAGATTGCTGTCTGTTCCTTCCTCTGGAAGCTTCATCCCAGAGGGGCACCTGCCAGATGCCAGCTGGAGCTCTCCTGTATGATGTGTCTGTCGACCCCTGCTGGGAGGTGTCTCCCAGTCAGGAGGTATGGGGGTCAGGGACCCACTTGAGGAGGCAGTCTGTCCCTTAGCAGAGCTCAAGCACTGTGCTGGGAGATCCACTGCTCTCTTCAGAGCCAGCAGGCAGGAATATTTAAGTCTGCTGAAGCTGCCCCCATGGCTGCCCCTTCCCCCAAGGTGCTCTGTACTAGGGAGATAGAAGTTTTATATATAAGCCCATGACTGGGGTTGCTGCCTTTCTTTTAGAGATGCCCTGCCCAGAGAGGAGGAATCTAGAGAAGCAGTCTGGCTACAGCAGCTTTGTCAAGCTGCAGTGGGCTCTGCCCAGTTCAAACTTCCTGATGGCTTTGTTTACACTGTGAGGGGAAAACCACCTACTCAAGCCTCAGTAATGGCAGACGTCCCTTCTCCCACTAAGTTCTAGTGCTGCAGGCCGACTTCAGGCTGCTGTGCTGGCAGCAAGAATTTCAAGCCAGTGGGTCTTAGCTTGCTGGGCTCTGTGGGGGTGGGATCTGCTGAGCTAGACCACTGGGCTCCCTGGCTTCAGCCTCCTTTCCAGGGGAGTGAATGGTTCTGTCTCACTGGCATTCCAGGAGCCACTGGGGTATGAAAAAAAATTGCTGCAGCTAGCTCGGTGTCTGCCCAAACGGCTGCCCAGTTTTGTGCTTGAAACGCAGGGCGCTGGTGGTGTAGGCACCCAAGGGAATGTCCTGGTATGTGGGTTGTGAAGACCTTGGGAAAAGCATAGTATCTGGGCTGGAATGCACTGTTCCTCATGGCACAGTCCCCCATGGCTTTCCTTGGCTAGGGGAGGGAGTTCCCTGACCCCCTTGCCCTTCCCGGGCAAGGCGATGCCTGCCCCACCCTGCTTCGGCTCACCCTCGGTGGGCTGCACCCACTGTCTAACCGTTCCCAGTGAGATGAGCCTTGTACCTCAGTTGGAAATGCAGAAATCACCCACCTTCTGCACTTCTGCATTGATCTCGCTGGGAGCTGCAGACCAGAGCTGTTCCTATTCTGCCATCTTGCCAGCCACCTTCTACACTATGATCAATTTTAAATGGCCAGTGATCCAACTTAGTCTCTGAGAGAGGAGCACACAGAAGGACATCATACACTGTACGAAGACGCAGATAGGTCTTGAAAAGATGTATTAATCTCAAGTTAGCATAAATGTAATAGAAGATAATTTTTTAAAGATTGGCAAGAAGAGATAGCTGAAAGAACTAATAATTCATAAAAATAAAAATTTATGTAAGGTTGCTTAATTTTGTTGAACTTTCAAAGGGGCCTGGTCCAATCACGTGATCCTAAAAAGTGCTCTCCATTTATAGATAACACCAAGAAAGGCTAAGCTACTAGCCCAGAGTCTTAGAGCAAATATTTGTTAAAACCTGGGCTGAAGGTCGTCTCCTGACTACTAATTTCTGTGCTAAACTCTCACATCATTGCCAGGTCCACCTTAAACATTAGCATCCCAGGGACATGAAAATATTCTGATTCTCATATAGGAGATACCTTGTGAGGGGAATCTAGTAGAAATTTAAAATTCCATACTAATTTCTTAGAGGACTAAAGGAAGTAGAGTTCATTCTACTAGGGTGAATGCAAGAATGGTGGTTTGCGGTAGTTTCTTCTCTGCAGACCATTTTGTAATATGTTCCACACTGACTTATAAAACACTGCAAGAACACCGGAATCAGAAGAATTTGGTCTGAAACCTTAGACATTTACTTCAGCATTGTGACTCTCAGCTTCTAAATTTGCAAATTAAGGCTAGTATCTGCGCTAACCAATTGACAAGGTTGTGGTGACGATCAAATTTTTAAAATTGTATAGGAAGAGTCCATGAAAGAGGAAAAGCCTATATAAATCAAGGTATAACTTTTCCTGAATACTGACTTGGTGATATGCTCTAGCTTCCCAGGGAAAGTCCACTGGATAGAGGCCATGTAACTGCAGTAGCTTTTAGAGAATGTCTATCCAAGAAGGGAGCAGAGATTCAAGGGAAGTAAACTAAAACAAGTTTAAAGAGCTATCCTCCACTGAAGTGAAAGGTTCCTGCCTTTAAGATAAGCCAAAAAATAGTAGGTTGATATTTGGCATATGTATAATCAGTAAGTAAGCTAAAAATGTCTAAATTGATTGATTAAAAAAATGCCCAAAAGTCAGTCCAGACTTAGTGTCCAGGATTTAGAAAGGTGTAGAGAATGTGGCACAAACTTTATTATTTACATCAAAAAGTTGTTGTAAGGATTCAAAGAGCACAGGTAAATTCTCCAGTACAGTGCTGAATCTACATCATAATAATTTTTATGCCTTTCAAAGCAACTGTGGAAAATTTCTTCCAGATTAGAAAACAGTACTGTAGTTTGCATGGAAGTCGACTTCTAGGGGATTTATTTGAAACCCCAAGATAGAAACTAAGCTGTCAATGTTAAAGAAAATAAAGACTAAGGCCATTGAATGTACCTAGTTATAACTCCACCAACAATACATAATCATACTGTGAAACAGTTTTGCCCTCACAAGATGATAATATTTTAGATAATTTCATGAATCCTTTTATTTCTAATTTCTCTGGCTGTGATTTTCTAAGTAAGTTAAGGAACAATTCAAGCCTATGTGGAGGTAGCTAAAGAAAAGATTGTTCAACTAACCTTTTACTGTGCTATTAGTTCCATTAAAACCAACTCATTAAATATAGTCAGGTCAGGTTCAGAGAACAATGAAAATTAGAAATAACGGGTTAGATCTTTTAGGTAGTCTGAGCCACAAAATAATCACAGCCATGATTTTCCCAGAGCTAACCATTTATTTGCACCCTAGCACTTATGAATCATTATGTTATTGTTTTCCTCTTAATGTCTGCTATGCATCAATGGTCATAATGGATGGAGATTGATGGGGAATTGAGACTTAGCAGTAACTTAGCAATTAAAATGCTCAACTGGTCTTTGTTCTAGTGTTCCCTGGTGAATATGGCTCTGTTCATTAATCTGCATGTTGATTACAACCACAGTGTGCTGTTGATCTGTGTTTCCCAGTCCTGTGATTGTAGGAGTATTAAGTTGCCATAGGCATCTATAAAAACTCATACCTCAGAATTTAATGCTGCTGACAGTTGTGCAATGAAAAAAAATATATAATCACCTATTATTCTGACTTGAGGATAGATATGAAAAATTTCAAAACCTACCTACCTTAAATTATTTTAATAAGATAAACTAAAGACTTATTTTACTTTATACCATAGATGTTGTTCTAAAATTTCCAGGTAATAAAACCATCTTTCCTTATTGGCCCATTTTATAAATTTCAAGTAAATATTGTTTTTATATTCAAATATTAGTGATTTCATTACATTAGCTCTAAATTTCTCTCTTCTGTTCCCAACTTCTTCCTCTCTATCAAGCAGTTAATGATGTGTAAAATAACACTTAGGTGTGTTGAAAGAGCTTATATTTTTTTCAAAGATGTGATCATGAGTCTTTTTATGAAACAGTTTTTTAAATTGTGAACAATTATCCTGATATGTATATGTTTATATTAATTTTCTTAGAATGGAATATACTTCAAAATAATTGTGATATGAAGAATGAAGCTATTATAATTACCACAAGATGAAGCCTTGTTTTAGATCACAGTGATTGAGAAGAATGATTTGGTAAGACTTATATTTAGTAAACCACAGTTAATAGCACAGGTGTTAAAAATGAATGTTTGAAACATTGTTAAACTCATCAGTAGGATCTATAAATACTTTCACTTAGATGTTTGCTTTAATTACTGTTGCATTTTAACAATGTAGTTAATTTCTTCCGTTCTGTTTTAACACTAGTAGTAACACCTACTTAGTCTAAGACATTTAAATTTTCTGGGGATGTAACATGACCTTTATACATATAACTCTGTTAGAAGGATGAGAGAGTACTGAATTAGTTTTTCAAAGTAACAAAAATATTTTATTAAAGTCAAAAATCATAAACCCATATTAACATGAATATTATGCCTACATAAACAAGTATATTATAAATTTTCTTCTTCACCAGAATTTAGATATTACTATCCTTTCACTACCTTGTCTATTTCTACAAAAGTGAAAATAAATGATAAATTAACACATTTTTAACATACTGAAAACATGGAGATGAAAAGAAGAGAATAAGTTACTATCCAAGAAGCAGTGAGATTGTCTGAATATTGCCTGAGAACTACTGTTAATGCAACAACGTATGGCCTGTGCTTTTAAAAAATTATTCGGCCAAAGTCCAGTGCCTAATTGCTCTGCTAGGTCTAAGGCCACTTTATAAAGTTAAGGCAGCATAGAACATATTTCACATTATTTGATATTAAGTTTGGAAAAGACCACTTAACTGGTCTAATTCATCCCACCGAATCACTTCATATGCCTTAAAAATATTCTCGGCCAGGCGCGGTGGCTCATGCCTGTAATCCCAGCACTTTGGGAGGCCTAGGTGGGCAGATTACGAGGTCAAGAGATCGAGACCATCCTGGCCAACATGGTGAAACCTGGTCTCTACTAAAAATACAAAAATTAGCTGGGTGTGGTGGCCCATGCCTGTAGTCCCAGCTACTCGGGAGGCTGAAGGGCAGGAGAATCGCTTGAACCTGGGAGGCAAACGTTGCAGTGAGCCAAAATCAGGCCACTGCACTCCAGCCTGGTGAGAGAGCGAGACTCTGTCTTAAATATCTAAATCATCTATATATCTATATCTATATCTATATCTATATCTATATCTATATCTATCTATCTATCATCTATCTCTCTATGTCTCTATCTATCTATCTATCTATCTATCTATCTATCTATCTATCTCCTCTAGGGTCCCTGTTTAGACTTGAATATGCCATGTAGAGTTCTTTTTCAATGGGTTTCAAATAAGATCTTAGTGTACAGTTGGCCCTTGAACAGCACAGGTTTGAACTGCACAGGTCCACTTATGCCACATTGTTTTTCAATAAAAGTTACACCAAGCGTGACTTTCTTTCTTGTCTCCCTTTCCACCTCCTCCACTTCTGCCTCTGCCACCCCTGAAAGCAACACCAACCCCTCCTCTTCTCCTCCTCTTCAGCCGACTCAATATGAAGATGAAGAGGAAAACCTTCATGAGGATCTACTTCCGCTTAATAAATTGTAAACAGATTTTCCCTTTCTTACGATTTTCTTAATAACATTTTCCTTCTCTAGCTTACTTTATTATAATAATATAGTACATAATACTTATACCATACAAAATATGTGTTCACTATTTATGTTATCAGTAAGGCTTCCAGTCAACAGTAGGCTACTAGTAGTTTAAGTTTTGGGGGAGTCAAAAGTTATAGGCAGAGTTTCAACTGTGTGGAGGACTGGCACACTCAACTTCCATGTTGTTCAAGGTTTAATACTATACTAAATTGTAAGTCGTCATTATGACCTTACACTATCTGAATTCCAAAGGATTCTGTTGTATATCTCTGAGATAAATTCACCTAAAAACATTGGAAAAGCAACATTGATCTGACTTAAGTGCAGCAATTGCTTCAATGATTTATAATTTCAGAGAAATCTCAAGGCCTTACCTTTCAACAACAAAAATGTCACTTACTTGCATGACACTGACTAAAACTCTTCCTTCCCATCGCCAAACTAGTCACTTCCTTGAGTTGACTTTTTTTTTTTACAAGAAAACCCTTGCTAAAATTTAAATGTATTCCCTGAGCAGAGAAAAAGATTTACCCTCTCACATCCATTAGGCTACAAAAAGAAAAAAAAATAGACGTAAGTCAAGAATAACCTGCTGTAGGTGAGAAGGTGTTGACGAGAGGGCTGAAAAGATTGCAAACACCAGAGGATCCAAGTGTGCAAAGGAGGAAGAGAGAATGAAGAATGAAGACATGAAAGACTTGGAGGTCAAGAGAAACAAGAAGCAAAAAACAGAAATGTGTCTCCTGCCTAAACATTTTCATTTTTTGTAATTTTTTTAGGTCCTCCCAAAGTTGTGCCACTCTGACATCCAATTTTTCACCAAGTAGTCGAAATTCAGAAGCACTAACCATTATTTAGAGCATAGAACATTTACTCCCAATTTTGTTTTCTCAGTTTTAGGTTATTGTGATGATGTCAGCTTCATCTTTTAACTAGGAGTAATAGTGCTACATCTCAGCTCATCTGCGTCAGAGTTATTTTAGTTTGAAGGCTTAAGCTAATACATTATGATTTAAAGATAATAGAAGTCTTCTTTTTGCCTAGACATCAGTACTGATCTCAGTAATATTTTCAACTCTGAAATAAACAAAAATAATATCTTCATTATTTCCTATCATTCTTTCTCTACCTAGAATTTGACTTGTTATTTTCATAATAATAAAATAATGAATATTGATCTTGATTTGCATAAACTCAAATTAAATTTATTATTTTTGTTTTATAATTTAAATTTACCCTGTTTAAAGTATTGATTACTTTTTACACTTATGTACCAGTGAGAAGCAGATAAGTAAAAAATGTTTTTTAACTCAAATGCAATCTCAAAAGAAATAACTTTTTAAAATAATTTACTCCACAAAAAGTAAGTTATAAGAGCTGTTTTTATCTGAGAATCATGAAGTCTATTCCAGCAACCATCTGCTTCTTTTTATCCTGACCCCTAATCTACTCTCTAGAACATAAGTGAAAGCCAGCCTGCAAGATCTTTGCTGATATTCTCATTAGCTAAAAGGAGTTGGAGCCTCTGCCAGCCATTTTTCATCCACCATCACCATAGTGCCTTCCATCATAATGCCCTGGTAATCTGAGACCCAACAATCATAAACATAGTTCCTCCTGTGAAAAGATGCTACAATAAAAATTATTCCTAGGATTTTCTTGGCAACAGGAGCCACTGTAATTCTCTACAGAAACTTTGTTCTTCTTTATTTTTCTAAGGGCCCTGATAAATTTTGTAGCATCCAAACTGTCCTCTTAGGTACTTAACCTCATAATACAAATATTACATGAAGAATAGTTGATTGTACTCTTCCATTTTTCCAGGTATTATAGAGACCATAGCCTATGAGTTCTTAGTATTTTTGTATGTACTGACTAATAAATATGACTTATACTGCACTTAATGTTACTTTCAGCAGGGGGCAAATAGGAACAAAGTTTAGTAGAGAATGACAACATGGAACATTATGTCCACAAGTTTTTCCTCTACTTTATATTGTATAGTTAATGCTACATGACTCTTTAATTCCTACGAACCTGACTCTGCATATTCAAGTTGTAGCTGTGTAATGTAGCTTTTCTTTTTTAGTGAGTGTGAGCCTTAAAGCAGTCTTGAAATGGATGGGGAAATAGGATCCAATTTATGTAGCTGCAAGCATTCAGATAATAAAACTCATACAAAAATCATAAGAGGACTAATATAGCTAAAAGATAAAAATCAGATCCCAGGTATCCTGTATGGGATAAACATTTTCCTTGAAGACACATTTTTCAAAAGGCATTAGAAGATGATCTGGTCTGTTTGCAGGCAGATTCAGAGAGAATGAAATAATACGTGTTGAGAATGCAGGAGAAGAAATCAGGAAGTGGGAAAGATAGAATAGACTTGTGATATTGTTTACCATGACATCTGCAAAGGAAAATAAATAGAAATAATATCTGTGAAGTAGACAAGATAAGAAATACAAGGCAAGAAATTGAATATATTTTAAAAGCTTAGCGTAGCATAAAGTGGCCAGAGAAGAAAGTCAATCATAGTCTTTATAACAGAAAAGAGAATGACCAAAATCAGAGAAAAAACATATATTTATCACAAGGAAAGTTTATGCAAATGTTGAATGAGTGACTTATTTTTAACTGTAGGATAAAAAGTAGAAACAACTGACAAGATTCTACCACAGTCTGAATGAAAATAGAAGGTAATATTCGCCCCAAAAGTTGTTTTGTAATGATAAAAAATGACTTCAGAAGTAGAAAATATTGGTCAAGAAAATATTACTAGCATGCAAAAGTTAAATAAAAACTAAACAAATATGTACAACATTGAACAAGACAATTTTCAGCACCAATATGAATCTGACATGCTCCTTGTCTTAAAGAAACTTACAGTCTAATGAGATAGACAGGCATATCTATTAGTAATTTTTACATAACAAACCACTGCAAAATTTAGTGGTTTAAAACAAAAGGGATTGTATTGCTCATAAGTTTATGGATCAGCTAATTATTTCTATTGATCTGAGACAGAGTTACTTGATTAAACCTTTTAGACAGCTACATGCAGATGGTAAATCATTCGGCTGGTCCAGGAGAGCCTCAGTTCAGATTATTAGTCTCTGTTTCATGTAGTCTCTCATACTCCAGCAGACTAGGCCAGGTTTATTCACAGGTATAACAACCTGTGTCTATTGACTAACGCAAGACACAAGGCTATTAGATTTAGGAGAGAGGAAATGGGTTCTACCTCTATATGTAAAGTGGTTGCAAAATCACGTTGGAAGGGAAAAGAACAGTGTTAAATCTTAGAGGCCTGAAAAAATATGACATTCAGAGACTGAAACTTCATTTCTAATGGCTGTAAAGTAGGCTGAGTGGGGAAGAGATAACATGAGAAGATGGCTTGTGTTAAATCTTAGAGGCCTGAAAAAATATGACATTCAGAGACTGAAACTTCATTTCTAATGGCTGTAAAGTAGGCTGAGTGGGGAAGAGATAACATGAGAAGATGGCTTGGTTATATTCTATAAGAAAAGTAGAGTTTATCAAGTACTTTCTGTGTAGGCTTGTAATACACCAAAAAAAGATACAGCATTGAATTAGGGGAAATAAAAGCAAATTTAGAGTATCTGACACTTAAGAGTTGTTCACTCTTTTTTTTAGAATGCATAATGGTTAGATTTATGCCTATGCTATGTGCTATGTGATTAACATACTTACAAACTTGGAAAGTATGGACACGTTCACTTACCAATGAAATGCTTTTGATCTATGTTTTTGACAGGGGAAAAGATGGGATAAGTCTTGGAAATCCCTCAAATTTATCTTCATCATTTAAATCTCCCTTGGATGTTTTTTCCCATCTGAGTTCCACATCTTCCCCCACTTTTGGATATTGAGATGCTGTCTATTTTCCAGTCTCCTCCACCTAAAGCAGGTCTGGAATAATTTTATATATTATTGATTTGTATTTTCACTTTGTAAAAATTCATATATCTAGCTTGGTGCAGGGAAACAGATCGTATGGCTATATCCTGTGAAAAAAAATATTTAAGTCCGAAAATATACGTACTAAATGGGAGAAAAATATTACCTAAACTTTCCTGTGTGTCCAATCTATGCCAAAACTTTACATAGATTATCTCATTTATACTCAAAACAAGCCCACAAGGTAGATATAATTATTATCATCATTTAACATATAAAGAAACTAAAGCATAGAGAAATTAAATAAAGTTATATGGTCACATAGCAATAATGTAGATTTGGGATTCCAACACAGGCAGCCTGCTCCTTGAACCTATACTATTACTTTACAAATCACTATTCTATTTTATTTCTTCTTTCACAACCCTCACCTCAAATTCTATAAGGGGGTCACTTCAAGGGAATCATTTATTAGGAATTAGATGGTCTGTCAGGGACAAAAATATATACTAAGAAATAATAAACATAGAACACAAAATCAGTTACATGAACTCTATTAGGTGTCTACTGCTACTATAATAAGTTAGCAAAAACATAATATCTTAATACAAATTTATCTTACAGTGAAGAAGGTCACACATCTAAGATCAGCTTCACTGGGCTAAAATAAAGGTATTAGCAAGCCTATATTTCTTCTGGAGGTTCTAAGGGAGAATCCATTTCCTTGTCTTTTTCACCTCCTACAGTTCACCTATATTCCTTGACTTGTGGTTCTTTTCTCTACATTTCAAGCCAGCATCTTAGCATCTCTCCTGTCTGGCATCTGTTTCTGCTGTTTTGTGTGGACTATTGCTAGCAATATGGGCCTTAAAGCTGTTGCTGGTGAGGGCTCAGAATAAAGTAAGGAGCATGGTAGAGAGAGCCTATATCTTCTTAGAGAAAAAATACATTGTCATAAAAAGAAAATTAGTACAAATACAAATGTTAATGTCTCTGCTGGTGAGTGCTCAGAAGGAAATTAGAAATAGATTATTGAAAACTGAAGGAAAAGTGATCCTTGTTACATAGAAGCAGAAAGCTTAGCTGAATTATGCTCTTCAGTTGTGTGAAAGCAGAACTTTAAAGCAATGAGCTTGCATGTGTAGCTGAAGAGGTTTCCAAGCAAAATGTTGAAGGTGCAGTCTGTTTTTTTCTTGCTTTTTGTTGTAAAATGCTACAGGAAAGAAATAAATTGAAGAAAGAACTGTTAAGCAAAAAAAAAAAAAAGAAGAAGAAAGACTTGATGATTTGGGAAACTCTCAGCCAATACAGATTGCAAAAGAATAAAAAATTCGGAAACTCATCATCATGAAAATGTGCTCTGGAGTGAAAACCAAGGGTGTGACTGGATAACCTTTTGCTAATGCCTTGGCAATATCCAAAGTTCACGGTATTCAATTACAGAGAAGGCTCTTTAAAGAGTTTAGACATATGACTTGACCCATAGATCCTCTTTAGTCTTTCAAAAGAAGCCAAAATAAGAGATATTATTATCCAGTTTAACATATGGGGAGGAGCCTCTTGTCTAATAGAATAAATATCTATGACATACATTTGAGATTCACAAGATTCTGGGAATGTTGTAACAGCAGAAGCACTGACAAACTGGACTAAAAGGGACACAGAGTGGGTAGAATGAAAGAAGGCTGCTAAACTTCCAAAATTCTATAGTCAGGAAACGGGCCCATAAAACAACTCATCTGCAAATATGTACTGCTCATTTTACGAAAAGAATGGCTTCAGAGGATGAGCTGTGAGCTCACAGGAAAGAGCTGTTCAAAGTAGAGGATTATCCCCAGCCCTTGAAACCTAATGGAATCTCCCTGCTGCGATTTCAAAATTCTTGAAACTGATAACTTCTTTCTTCTTTTTCATTTTCTCCCTTTTTGAGTAGGAATATCCATAACAACTATCCTTGCCTTTCCTGTCATCATATTTTGGAAACAGGTAACTTGATTTCTAGTTTTGCAACTCTAAAGATGGAGAGGAATTTTGCCCCATGATGGATTAAGAGTTGCACACATACCTGATTTACACTATGAGATCTGGGACTCTTGAGCTTACGAGACTTAAACAAGACTTTGGACTTGAGTTGATGCTGAATGGTTTGAGGCTTTTGGGAACCTACAGATGGGGTGAATATATTTTCATGTGGAATAGACATGAATCTTTGGAGCCAAGAGGGTGTCCCTTTTTGCTTCATGTGTTTTGAAGTTATTAAAATTTCTTGTGTTTTCTTAATGAACTCAATCCATGTTTGAGAAAAAAGAAGTAGAAAAAGTATGAGACAGAAATAGGACTTATTGGTAAGGTTTATTTTTAATATTACTTTCTAACAAATACGTAGTTCAATATTCTGTCAAGTCATCCAGACAGAAATTTATTGTATTTGTCAGGATGTAATTTGTCTTACAAATTAATTCCCACTAAGTTATGAATGTCACAAAGCAAAATGCAGCGGAAGGAGCAATGGGGTTTATCAAGATATTTCTGGAGAGAGTTCCTTCTTAGTCATGCTTCATTTCGACATTCTCTATGTATAAACTGGCTGTGTTGCACACAATCCTAAGTCTCGGTTGGAGAGGATAGCGCATTTACTTAGAGAAAAATTGCACGTAAATTATCCCCTCAAATCAGAAACTCTAGAAAGCACTGAGGAAGGGAATCAATGAACAAATATTGTGGAACACATGACGTCTTCCAACCTTTACAAATAATCTCTATTCTGTTTTTTTATTACGTATAGTTCTCTTTCTCTCTGCCATATAGTATTTTATTTATTGTTTGAAAAGCTTCAAAGGCAACCTGGCCAATTATATTCTCAGAAGCTTTGTTCGCGATCTGCTCCAGCAACAAAACTTCATAGCGCTTGGTAAATTATCAGTTTCAGGCTATGTCTACACAGCACCAAATGAAAGAGATTCATAATACTATAAATATTTTTCACTACAGACTAAGAGAATTAAGCTTGGAATACTTTATAAATCACGTTTTATTAATTGTTAATAATCTCAGTAAGTAAACATTAACCAAACTTTAACTGTTAATGAAGCTACGTGACAGAAAAGAGGCCTTCTCGGAAATAAAATTTTTGCAGATACAATAGTCTCGTTGTACACTTTTTCATCTAACACATATTAATTGAGCACTAATATACACCAGGTATAATTCTGTACATTGAAATAGTAAAGAAATGAAATAAAGTTCCTTCTTTTATATTTTAATGTAAGTACAGTCAATGAGCAAATGAACTTAAAATGTCAGTGAGAAATGCTTAGAAGTCAAAAATAATGGAGATACACTTCTGAAAGATGGTTAGAAAAAGTTTTCCTGAGGAGGTGACATTTTAACAGAGATAGGAATAAAGTGAGGGAATGAGCAGGACAGTTATGTGGTGAGAAATCATTCTAAGCAATGCAAACAGCTGATGCAAAAGCCCTGAAGCAGGAGCAAGCAGAGGCCAGTGTGGCTTCTGCGGGGAAAGTAAGGAGAGAGTGGTAGGAGAGAAACTCTAAGGTCACTGGAGGCATGTGGGACATTAGATCATGTGCTGCCTTTTGGATTTTATTCCAAATGTGATAGGAGATCACTGGAGAATTTGAATAGGTAAGTGATTTGATCGAGATATTGCATAGGTCGAAGTGGGTAAGGTGATGGCAAAATAAATAAGAAGTAGTAGGATTTGGGATCTTTTTTGAAGAGATTTTGATAACAGATTAGATGAGAGAAAAAAAAGAAATATGTTTTCAAGGTTACCAGGTCAGCACTGGGTGAATGAATGGACCAATTACTGGAATTGGGAACACTAAGAGAAGAGGATTATGCTATGGGGTGGGGAAGAATTGGGAAAGAATCAAGGGTCTAATTTTGAGTATAGCAAATGTGAGGTGTTTACTTTACATGTAAACTAGATGTTAATTGGGCAATTTGCAGAATCCCAAAATGTGTTTCACAAATTTGGGAGCCACCAGCATATAGATAATATTTAAAGCCGTGAGTGTGGGTAAAAAAGAGATCTGAGGTTGGAGCCTTGGATTACTCCATGTTGGTATCCTGGACTGCTCCATCACAGAGATGAAGGAATGACTACTGAAATAGAATGAAAACAAGAATTTGTGTGATCTCGTGGAAGCCTGTGAACAAAAGTATTTTAGAAGAAAGAGAAAGTGACTAACTTTGTGCATTTGTCTCTCAATCAAAATTAATGTAACTAGGAAGAAATACACATTTCTATCTGTGGAAGAGCTAGAAAATAAAGCTGAAATATAAAATAGAAAATGTAGGATAAAATAGGATTATATGCCATTTTTCCTGACCACGAAACCTGGAATCCATACAAAATACACCATCATCTTATTTATAAAACCATTGGAACTAATAGAATAGTACCTCAGAGGAGGAGCAGATGTGAATATATATCTATTCCTGTTGCTATGTTTAATGGCAATGACAGAATCATTTTCTTTTTTTTCTGCTTTCCAGATTCAGTGATGTGGGTAACCAATATATTTAGAAAAATACCCCTAGTGATGGTGGTAACCAATGTATTTAGAAATGAATCATTCACCAAGAAACTAAAATAACTATATAGGCTGTCACTCAAAATGATCTATTCCTAGTTGATTTTTTAAAAATCCTTCTAAACTTATATCTCTTACTTAAAATTTTGAATATTACTTTGGTGCTAAAATTTCCCAAGGCTTTTTTGCAACTTTAATTTTTTATTTTTTATTATTATGGATACACAACAATTATACCTACTTATGGGATACATGTGATATTTCAACACAAGCATAGAATGTGTAATAATCAAGTCAGGATAACTGAGGTATCCTCATGGCTGTAATATCTCTGTTACCCCATGATTGCAAGTGTACAATGTCCTCAGTCTAGACAGAACACAGGAGACATCTTATTTCTTTTTCTCTATTAAAGGAGCTAAAACGAGTATATTCCTCATGATAAACACACCATCTATCTATCCCCACAGAAGCCAGTCTGTGCAAGTTAATTGCTTAGACCTGACAGTGCAGAGAACAGCATTAATAAATGGGGTGTACTGGGTTGTAGAAAGAACAGATGTGAGTTTTCTGCTCCACTGTACGAAGAATTAATTCTCTATCTCTCCATTTATATACTGTGGTCACCATTCAGGACCTGTGTTTAAAGATCCTATGGTAAAGCACTCTTCATGTAACCTCCACTATTTCAAAAGTCTCCAGTGGCATTTGAAATTTCTCCTTTAAGACATAGTCCTTTTTCACAGTGTTGGGAAGGAGAAGGGGGAATTTTACTTGAAATACCACTGAAATATGATTTTTGTTTCTGGTTGCTCTAAACAACTTGTGTTTACAGACCTACTGCCTGGAGAAACTATAATTGTACAATAACCCGTAACTTTATCCCAGTGGAAAATGTAGTTCAAATATGTTTTGTAATAAATTTTGCCTTTTTATTTTTTATCTAACTTAAGGATTCACATCTTTAAGCTCCTAGGGATGTAGCATTAGTTAAGGATTCAGAAGTGTGACCCTTGAAAGAAGTGTACATATTTTAGTACCACACTGAAGTAAAAGTGTTTTTTGTCATGAATCTCATTATTTGATATCAAATGTCTTTGCAAACCTTATGGGTACTTATTGCTTCTCTGGATACAGACCAAACACTTCTAGATTAAAAAAAAAATTCTGAGACTATTACTAGACAGAAGTTAGAAATATAGAAATATTTTTCCAGTTTCTATGATATTCTAAGCATTGTGCTGTACATATTTGCTACTCTAGCACACTTAGTTATCACAACAGTCTTGTGTAATGGTAAGAGAAACTCTGTGGAACAGAATTTTCTTAAGACTCAATTTTCTTATCTGTAAAAGACAGAGATCAATTTTATATAACTCATAAAGATTCAGGGAGTAATACCTCTAAATTACTTACATTAGTTCCTGCATAAAAAGCTCTCTTGGTTAACTACATACCACCTATGAGTTAAATAATTTGTAACAAATTAAAAAACAAATTGCTTTCTATGTAACACAGTCCAATTTCATAGACCATACGATAAAAATCTGGAATTTATACTCAAGACGATTTCCAAACATCAACAACCCCCACATTTATTGAATGGATTAACTTTGCAACATGCTAGGAATTTTCAAGTATTATTTCACCTAATTAAAAAAACACTTGTGAATAAGGTAATAATATTTTAATTTCATAAATGAGGAAACTGGAGATTAAAGATATTAAGAAATATCTAAAGCTGCTAAAGTTCATACAAGGAGGAATCAAAACCAGTTCAGGTGCACTGCAAACTCTACTTGGAGAGTAGAAGTCAAGATTTGGTTCTGTGACTAGCATATGGACAGTGTCTACTGAATGGTTGTGGAATAAATCAACCTGACTCGAAATATATATTTTAATGTATCATCAATTCATCACACTTCAAAAATATCTTTATTAAAAGTCATGTTTCAGCCAGGCGTAGTGGCTCACACCTGTAATCCCAGCACTTTGGGAGGCCGAGGCGGGCGGATCACCTGAGGTCAGGAGTTCAAGATCAGCCTGGGCAACATGGTGAAACCCCGTCTCTACTAAAAATACAAAATTAGCCAGTCATGGTGGCACATGCCTGTAACCCCAGCTACTCAGGAGGCTGAGGCAGGATAATCGCTTGAACCTGGGAGGTGGAGGATGCGGTGAGCCGAAATCACGCCATTGCACTCCAGCCCGCGCAACAAGAGTAAATCTCCGTCTCACCAAAAAAAATATAAATAAATAAATAAATAAATAAAAATAAATAAATAAAAAATAAAAGTCATGTTTCATGGAGTAGCACCATATGTAGAGCCTCAAGCCAGTAACTTAACTGCCAAGCCAAGATGGGATTTTTCAAGACTGCCACCGCAAGGGTTCAAGATGAATCCTACAATTTCAATTGTGTGTTATGAACTAATTTCTTTGGAGAGAGAAAAACCAATTTGGCAGAGTCAGAAAGAGTATGTGGACCTCTATCATGCCATGGAAAGTCATGCCAGGACTAAGGCGTCTCCTGGACAGGATGTGAATTCTCATGCAATGATACCAAATAAACTAGATTTAAATTATCACCTATTTGTAGACATTGTTTATAAAAATAAACTGCCAATTACCTGGAGACTTTGGGGCTTTTCTTTATCAGGAAAAGAAGATGTCCAGAATGTAAAATGCTCTACCTGGATATAGCTGAGTGTGGAGTTAGTCATTTTAGAATCTCAGCTTAACTAATCATCAAAATTTGATTTCAATCCTAATAACCATAAAAGTTTCACAAAATATAGTTGGTGCCAATATATTTCATATAGTGTACTTGGATAATTATTTTGAGGTGTTTTTAGTTGATAAATAATATTTGTATATTTACATGGGGTCCATGTAACATTTTGTTACACGCATAGGATGTGTAACAATCAAGCCATCACCTCCAGTATTTTATTATTTCCATATGTTGAGACCATTTCAAGTCCTCTCTTCTAGTTATTTTGAAATACCCAATACTCTATTGTTAACTATCGTCATCCTCCTCTGCTATCAAACATTAGAACTTATTTCTTCTAACTATATGTTTGTGCCCATTAACCAACCTCTCTTTATCCTCACTTTCCACCCATACACCCTTCTCAGCCTTCAGTATCTACCATTCCAGTCTCTACTTCCATGCTGTCTATTTTTAATTCCTACATATGCATGGGAACATGCAATATTTGTATTCCTGTTCTTGGCTTATTTTACTTAACATAATAACATTCAGTTCCATCCATTTTGCTGCAAATGATATGGTTCCTTTTTTTAATGGCCAAATAGTATTATATATATATAATACTATATATATATATACACACACACACACACTATATATATATACTATATATATAGTATTATGTAGTATATATATACATAATACTATATATATATATACCTTTGGTATGATGGTGTATATATATACCTTTGATATGATGGTTTCCTTTTCTTTGGATAAATACCATATAGTGGGATTGCTGAATTTTCTGGTAGTTCTGTTTTTAGTTTTTTGAGAAATCTCCATACTGTTTCCCATAGAGCTGTACTAATTTACATTCCCACCAACAGTGTATAAGAGTTCCCTTTTCTCTTCATCCTTGTTAACATCTATTATATTTTGTCTTTTTAATAGTAGCCATTCTAGGGTAGGACGTGGTGGCTCATACCTATAATCCTAGCACTTTGGGAGGCCAAGGCGGGCAGATCACCTGAGGTCAGGAGTTCGAGACCAACCTGACCAACACAGTGAAACCCGTCTCTACTGAAAATACAAAAAATTAGCTGGGCGTGGTGGCAGGTGCCTGTAATCCCAGCTACTCAGGAGGCTCAGGCAGGAGAATGGCTGGAACCCAGGAGGTGGAGGTTGCAGTTAGCCAAGGTCTTGCCACTGCACTCCAGCCTGGGTGACAGAGACTCAATCTCAAAAAAAAAAAAAAAATAGCCACTCTAATTGAGGTAAAATGATATCTCATTGTGTGGTTTGGATTTACATTTCCATGATGATTAGTGATGTTGAACGTTATTCATGTGC